>NC_000003.12:196725564-196876563 GCF_000001405.40 Homo sapiens | reverse complement strand
TGAAAGAACATAAATACTTTTTTCTTTTCTTTTTTTTTTTTTTTTTGAGACAGAATCTCGCTCTGTCGCCCAGGCTGGAGTGCAGTGGCGCAATCTCGGCTCACTGCAAGCTCCGCCTCCCGGGTTCACGCCATTCTCCTGCCTCAGCCTAGCTGGGACTATAGACGCCCGCCACCAGGCCCGGCTAATTTTTTTTGTATTTTTAGTAGAGAAGGGGTTTCACTGTGTTAGCAAGGATAGTCTCGATCTCTTGACCTCATGATCCGCCTGCTGGAATTACAGGCGTGAGCCACAGCGCCTGGCCCATAAATACTTCTTAAGCTGTCTGAACCTAATTATTTAATAAATCAAACTGTTAAGCTTAGGGACATGTAAAAAATATATTAAGGAGGGTGTAAACAGAGAAAGTTTGGGAACCTCTAGTTTAGAATATCATATTTTACTTTATCAGTGGAAAAATCACTTCTATATAAACAAACTTCTTAATATGAAATAAACATGTAATTCAAATAAACGCTTACTATGGTATACTGCCAATATTGGCCAGGCATGGTGGCTTATGCCTGTAATCCCAGCACTTTGGGAGGCAGAGGTGGAGTATCGCTTGAGCCCAGGATTTCAAGATCACCTGCCTGGGCAACACAGGGAGATCCTGTCTCCAAAAAAAATAGCCAAAAGTGGTGGTACATGCCTGTGTTCCCATCTACTCAGGAGGGTGAGGTGGAAGGATCGCTTGGGCATGGGAGGTCAAAGTTTCACTGAGCTATGATCACACCACTGTACTCTAGTTTGGGTGACAGAGCAAGACCCTGTCTCAAAAAAATAAAAAAATAAAATAAAAATTAAAAAAAGTCAAATTCAGGGTACAATGGAAATATCTGGCAAAAGGGTCAGGAAACACCTCTCTGAAGAAATTATTTTTTCTCTGAAGAAATTATTTTTCAGCTGAGACAAATGATGAGCAAGAGTTCCTAGGAAAGAGAGGGAATTCAGTATTTCAAGGAATGGAAAGAACTTCAGTAACACTTAGAGGCACGGAAGGGGTAGATGAGGAACAGAAGAGCTAAATTCACGATGCTGACACTTAACATAAGGTTGGTGTGAAGCCACTGAAAGACAAAGATCTGATTCATATTCTTGAAAAAAATCATTCTACCTGCAATGTGCAGAATGGCAAGGAGAAGGCCACAGCAGAAGAAACCCATTAGGAATCTGTTACAGGTAAATCAATGCAGATACAGTGGGACAGCTTCTTGGATTAAGAGAAAAACTGGGAGGATGTAGCAAAGTGAATCAATCTTCAGGACACAGAAATGACAGGACTTGTCATTTGTCAAAAGCCTATCTGTTGGGGGTAAATGTTCCAGTATCAGCTACTAGGTAGATAGTGGTATCACTGATACGAAACACAGACGGAGATCGATTAGGGGAAGGTTATACTGACTATGCCTTTAGTCTTTCACATGTTCAATTTGAGATGACCATTAGAAGTCCAAGTGGATATATACAGCTAGATATACAGTTCAAGAATTCTGAAAAGAGGACATCATGTGAATTCCAGTTTTCAGCTTAGAGTAACCAAAGCTATAGAAAATGATAAGATCACCTAGAAAGAATTTGTAAAAGGTAGAAGAGAATGAGAGAATGTACCCTAGGGCAATAGCCCAAGGAACTCTAGGAATTTTTTTTTTTTTCCCACTCTTGTTGCCCAGGCTGGAGTACAATGGCACGATCTCAGCTCACTGCAACCTCCGCCTCCCGGGTTCAAGCAATTCTCCTGCCTCAGGCTCCCAAGTGGCTGGGATTACAGGCATGCGCCACCACGCCCAGCCAATTTTGTATTTTTAGTAGAGACCGGGTTTCTCCATGTTGGTCAGGCTGGTCTCGACCTCTGACCTCAGGTGATCCACCCAACTCAGCCTCCCAAAGTGCTGGGATTACAGGTGTGCCCAGCTGGAACTCCAGGATTTAAGAAATAAAGAAAGACTAAGCAAAGGAAAGTGAAAAAAAATGACCAGGGAGATAAGGTCAAAAATCAGGTAAAGGTGGTATCAGCAAAGCTAGAACAGGTTTCTAAAAAGAGGGAAATGGTCAGTTAAAGGTTGTTGAGAAGTCGAGCAAGATAAGGATTAAAAGTGTTCACTGAATTCTCTTGACATTTGCAGGAGAAATTTTAGTACAATGGAAAGGACAAAAACCAAGGTGGAACAAAAAAGGCGATATATAAAAATTGTTCAAGAAGCCTGGGTAAAGCTCAAACATTTTTTTAGTGGAGATTCTTATACATGTTTAAATTCTGATGAAGCACTTTACTTCTGGATAAAGACTGCAGATTAAGCAGACACATTTTACCATCATTCCCTCTTAAAACTTCATTAAGAATAAAAAAATTGTCCTTTATCTTTTTTTTTTTTTAAAAAAAAAAGGTCTCATTCTGTCAGCCATGGCTCACTGAAGCCCCAAACTCCCAGGCTCAATCAAGTAATCCTCCTGACTTAGCCTTCTGAGTACCTAAGATTACAGGTGTGAGCCAATAAATTAATTTTTTAAAAGAAAAAACCAGCCAGGCACCATGGTGCATGTCTATAATCCCAGCTACTCAAGAGGCTGAGGCAGAAGGATCCTTTGAGGTCAAGAATTTGAGACCAACCTGGGCAACACAGCAAGACCCATTCCTAAATAACTAATTAAAATTAAATTATGTTTTTTGTTTTGTTTTGTTTTTTGAGATGGAGTCTCACTATGTCACCCAGGCTATAGTGCAGTGGCACATCTCAGCTCACTGCAAGCTCCGCCTCCCAGGTTCAAGGATTCTCCTGCCTCAGCCTCCCGAGTAGCTGGGACTTCAGGCGCCCGCCACCACACCCGGCTAATTTTTTGTATTTTTAGTAGAGATGGGGTTTCACCGTGTTAGCCAGGATGGTCTTGATCTCCTGACCTCGCAATCCACCCGCCTCAGACTCCCAAAGTGCTGGGATTACAGGCGTGAGCCACCACGCCCGGCTGCCAAGAATTTTTTAACTTAATTTTTTAAAGATATAATTTACCTACAGTGAAATACATAAACCTGAAGGGCTTTTGTTTTTTTAAAGCATATGTACACAAAATGGAACACCGAACAACAGCAAAAACATTTTGAAAGTTGGAATGTGGATTGACTTAAAGATCTAAAGACGTTAAGTCTCGGCTGGGGCCGGGCGCGGTGGCTCACGCCTGTAATCCCAGCACTTTGGGAGGCCGAGGCAGGCGAATCACCTGAGGTCAGGAGTTCAAGACCAGCCTGACCAACATGGAGAAACCCCGTCTCTACTAAAATACAAACATTAGCCGGGCATGGTGGCATGTGCCTGTAATCTCAGCTACTTGGGAGGCTGAGGCAGGACAATTGCTTGAACCTGGGAGGTGGAGGTTGCAGTGAGCCAAGTTCACGCCACTGCACTCCAGCCTGGGCAACAGAGCGAGACTCCGTCTCCAAAAAAAAAAAAAAAAAAAAAGTTAAATCTCAAGCTTGCAGGGAGGAAAGCAATCTAAAGAACAATACCTCAAAACAGGTCAGGAATTGTTCTACAGAGGGATGTGAATATGAATATGACGCTAAAAATAAAAGGATTGGTCAAATGATTTAAATATCCTCCCACATGCCACAAAACCAGCCAACTGTCCCCTACCCATCCTTGCAGACACCTGGAGTCTTCTTCTCTAGACTAGAACAGCACAGCCCAATAAAATTTCTGCAATGACAGAAATATTCTATATCTGCTCTGCCCAATACGGTAGCCTCTGGGCAAATGTGGCCATTGAGCACTTGAAACATGTCTAGTGCAAGTGAGGAACTAAACCTTTAATTTTAATTATTTAGATTTAGGCTGCTACATGTGGCTAGTGGCTACCACACTGGATAGTGCAGCTCCGCTATCCAATATGGTAGCCACTAACCACACGTAGCAGCTTAAAACAATCCTATGTAAAAACAAAGAATTCCTGGACTGGAAAGCTTTTCAACTGGTCCAGTTGAGAATGAGGTCATCTTACTGAAAATAGTTGAGTTAAATGAACAAGAATGAGTGTTTACATAACGAATACTAAGACCTCCAGCCTTTCCCTAAGTATAGAAGCCAGACTGCTGGAAGCCCAATTTGTACTCTCCAAGTAGGAGATCCCTTCTTCTTTAGGGAATCTGACCCTGGAGCAAAGACAAGATACTGCCATTGAAGGTTCTTGAATACAACGGTCCAGTAATTAAAAGCAAACTTCACATGCGTTTCCTTTACATTTCTGCCCCTGTATTCCCAGCCATGCTGCTGTATGTTCATACTGACCAAATATCAACATTCCTTCAAAGATAAAACACGCACACAAGGGAAATAGAAGGTTTACACTCTTACTAGATACTCACCGACCCTAGGACAGCCCCAAGCCTAAACAGCCCCTTAAGGAGCCCAATATTTGGGTGAAAGTTCACAGCGCAGCCACCGTACAGGTTAACTGAAGCTTCACTACGAAAAAGTTATATCGGCCAAGTGTGGTGGCTCACGCCTGTAATCCCAGCACTTTGGGAGGCCAAGGCGGGCAGACTGCTTAAATCAATCTGCATTCCAGCTTCCAAAATGTTTTGCTATTTTTCTGTCTTCCATTTTGTGTACATATGCTTTAAAAAATAAAAACCCTTAAGGTCTATGTATTTGACTGTATTTTTTTTTTTTTTTTTGGAGATGGAGTCTCACTGTGTCACCCAGGCTGGAGTGCAGTGACCTGATCTCGACTCACTGCAACCTCCACCTCCCAGGTTCAAGAGATTCTCCTGCCTCAGCCTCCTGAGTAGCTAGGAGTACGAGTGTGTGCCACCATGCCCAGCTAATTTTTGTATTTTTAGTAGAGATGGGGTCTCATTATGTTGGCTGGTCTCAAACTCCTGACCTCAGGTGATCAACCCACCTCGGCCTCCCTAAGTGCTGGGATTACAGGCATGAGCCACTGCACCAGGCCGTAAATTATATCTTTACAAAATTAAGTTAAAAAATTCTTGAAAATTTTAGTCTCAAGTAGTTTCAGAGTCAGAAGACTGCCTCAAGAGCCAGCAAGTGACTTCTAACCTTCAATTTTTGCCAGCTCCCTAGAGCTGCTTTGTTTCAATGTTAACTCTGCAGTATCAGTTTAGATTGAAACTGTAACCCTGGGTTCATACTAACCCTTCACATGTACCTCTACTTGTCTCCTGTCAGAATGTGAAATTCAACAACAACTAAAACTTCAGAATTAAGGTATTCCAGACACAAAAATAAAATTTTAGAGATTCAGCTATTTGGTTTCTCAGATACATACCAGGTCTCTCTAGACTCTGAATGTATTAGACAACCTATGTGTTACCATCACTTGTTTTTTGTTTTTTTTTCTGAGACAGAGTCTCACCCTGTTGCCAAAGCTGGAATGCAATGGTGCAACCTCGGCTCACTGCAACCTCTACCTCATGGGTTCAAACGATTCTCCTGCCTCAGCCTCCCGAGTAGCTGGGATTATAGGCGCCCGCCACCATGCCCAGCTAATTTTTTTGTATTTTCAGTACAGACGGAGTTTCACCATGTTGGCCAGGCTGTTCTCTAACTCCTGACTCGTGATCCACCCGCCTCGGCCTCCCAAAGTGCTGGGATTACAGGCATGAGCCACCGCACCAAGCCAACATGACTTTTTAAATCACTGACTTTAGGATATCCTTTGTCATCTGGTTGTAGAAAATCAACATGCTGCTGACCGGATACAGTGGCTCACACCTGTAATCCCCGCGCTTTGGGAGGCTGAGACGGAGAGATCACTTGAGGTCAGGAGTTCAAGACCAGCCTGGCCAACATGGTGAAACCCCATCTCTACTAAAAATACAAAAATTAGCCGGGCGTGGTGGTGGGCGCTTGTAATCCCAGCTACTTGGGAGGCTGAGACAGGACAATCACTTGAACCCGGGAGGCGGAAGTTGCAGTGAGCAGAGATCAAGCTGTTGCCCTCCAGCCTGCACAAGAGTGAAACTCTGTCTCAAAAGAAAAAAAAAGAAAATCAACATGCTATAAACATGATCATTTTAGAGAAAAAATAATTTAGTATATTTGGAGAATCTGTGATGTAGGGTCCATTTCCGGCTCTACTAATAATAGAGTAGGAATTGCTAAAGCAATAAGAAGGCTACCAAAGAATAATTGGAGAATGAATATATTTCCCTAAAAGAGAAAGTTCAACGCAGCCTGATGGCCTATTTACCTTAATTTTGAAAATATTACCCACGCCCAAAAAAAGTCACAAGGGTTTCACCATAATAGGTAAGAAAAATACATGTAAAGCACTGTGACCACCTTACCAGTTGACCCTTTCTGAGCGTCTACCAAATTCTTTAAATCAGTGACAGAGTACAATCTAACCAAGAAAAGAAAAAGGAACTAAAAATTCGCAAAGACATGCTTAATATCGCAAATGCCAAGGTGATCTACTTCAATCAGATGTTTGGCAACTAGAGAAGCACAGAACCCCGTTCTCAAACTGAGCTCCATAGGAAGCTGGCTAATAACACAAAGTAAATGGCCATGCATGCCAGGATGAAGGAGGCAGAAAGGCAGGCCTGTGTATAGAGCACTGGGTTTATGACAAGCTAGAATAAAAGCAAAATATTGTTAAATTTCAATTTTTCTATGATTTTTGAAGGATTCACATAATGGCCTACCAAAAAAAAAAAAAAAGGCTGATTTAGAAAGTAATATAGCCCAGGCGCAGTGACTCACTCCTGTAATCCCAGCACCTTTTTTTTTTTTTTTTTTTTTTTTTGAGACGGAGTTTTGCTCTTGTTGCCCAGGCTGGAGTGTAATGGCACTATCTCAGCTCACCACAACCTCGCCTCCCGGGTTCAAGCTAGTCTCCTGCCTCAGCCTTCCGAGTAGCTGGGATTACAGGCATGCGCCACCACGCCTGGCTAATTTTGTATTTTTAGTAGAGATGGGGTTTCACCATGTTGGTTAGGCTGATCTCGAACTCCCGACCTCAGGTGATCTGCCCGCCTCGGCCTCCCAAAGTGCTGGGATTACAGGCGTCAACCACCGCGCCCGGCTGATCCCAGCACTTTTGAGAGGCGGAAGCAGGTAGATCACTTGAGGTCAGGAGGTCGAGACCAGCCTGGCCAACATGGTGAAACCCCATGTCTACTAAAAATACAAAAATTAGCCGGGCGCGATGGCGGGCACCTGTAATCCCAGCTACTCTGGAGGCTGAGGCAGGAGAATCGCTTGAACCTGGGAGGAGGAGGTTGCAGTGAGCTGAAAAGATCGCGCCACTGCACTCCAGGCTGGGTGTCAGAGTGAGACCCTGTCCCCCCTCCAAAAAAAAATTGTGAGCCCAGGTGTAAATGAAGCCCCCCTCCCCAGCACCCTCCTCTACATACCAAGCTTTTCTCCTAGAAAAGATGCACTGGGAAAAAGCTATCTTGAGTAAAGATCAAAACTGATATAAGCCATCCCTCATATACCAATAATATGCCATCAATAAGCGTGAGACATGTGGATGGCTAGGAGAGAGTCTGGTTTCTTCCTGATGCTGCCCACCCAAAACAGAGACTGCAGTTAGGCTCTGACCACACGAGCGCCTGGCATCTCTAGGCAACCTTTTCCATACCAAGCTTAGTTATTCCGGGCAAAATGCAAAAAAAAAACATAAGTAGGAACCTATCATGAAGTGTCCTGGATATTCTTAAATTAAATTTAACCAGATTCTCAAAACATTTCATAACTAACGTCTGCTTTCTTCATTTAATTCTCCAAACATTATAATTTACATTGGTAGAAGAAAGTCCCACTTTACCTGCGGTGAAAAAGGTCGAAATGTCTATCTAGCATGAGATGAAAAACACTACCAGAGAGCAGGGTAGGATTTCACCTCGGCTATTCTCGCTCTAAGTCCAAAACTCCCACATCCTCTCCGCATCCCTCCACCCCGACAGAGTGGCCACAGGGCGTAGAGCGGAGGCTGATACCGCTCAGAGCAGACCGAAGGGAAAAGACGTCTCCCACCGCGCTCATGCCCAACCGGGCTCTCTGGAAAAGGGTCCCGGGGAGCGCGAGGAAAGAAACGAAGGCCGGAAGGAGGCAGAGCGGTCTAAGCAAATAAAAACCCCGGACTTCCACGGCGGCCGGAGCTGGAGGCCTGTGACAGCGGCTCCTCCTCTCAGAGCTTTCCCGGCTTCAGGAGGAGCTGGGGGGCGCCAGCTTCCCGGTGCCTGCGACGCACAGCCCGGCTGGAGCGAGAGCGCAGGGCAGCGGCCCCTCGGGACGAGCTCGCTCGCCTCCCCCGGAAAGGGAGGCTGTGGCCGAGACGGACGGCGGCCTCCAGCTCGGGCGGGGGAGGGCGGCTCGAGGCCTCCGGACCGGGCGCTGAGGTGGCGCACCGGCGCGGGAATGGCCCCAGCCAGCCCCGCCAGGCGATCGCTGAGTCCGTCACTCGTCTGCCCGCGTCCCCGCTTACCTGCTACCCTCGTTCCTGGCAGCTGCCCCGCCGCCGGCCCCGTCGCGGCAGCAGCCTGGACCGCGGACCCCGCCTTCGTCAGCTCCAAGGGAAGCCCCGCCAGCGACGAGGCGTCCGGCCTGTTCGCCGCGGCCACAGCCGCCGAGCTTCCTCTGAAGCGGCTGCCGCGACGCCGGCGCTGGCCTATCGCGTCACCTCCTCCGCGCCCTTCCGCCTGCGAGGCTGGGCCTGGCACCGCCCGCTTCCGGCGCTCCCGCCCCGCCTCCCGACCCGGGGCCGCCCCGCCCCCGCCCGTCACCGCGTCCTTAGCCCCGGCCTCCCTCAGAACGCGCTGGGATGGGAACCGCGTTCAGGAGCTGCTAAGCGCGTTTGAGACTTCAGCCCCTTCTCCAGCTTTTAACCTAAAAGGGCTAAATCAGACCGCAGCTAGTGTACACCCCTACCCTCCGCTGATCCCGTCACCCCTGCGCCGAAAGCAAAAGACCCATTCCAGCTCTGGACGTTGTGAGGCCTGGCCCAGGCGTCCGCTCTCTGGTTTTCCTATTGATCTTACCCCTGGTATTGTGATTGGCCTCTTTATCTATGTCTTACCCGCCCCAACTGTGAATGCTTTCCAAAATTATAAGCCGATGTCCTGACAGGCAAAAACATAATAATAGCAGATTTATGGCGGAAGATGAGTTCAGTTTTGAACATACTCGATCTGGAAGAATAAAGTGGAGGTGACTGCAATGGAAAACCAACAGTGCGTTGCTGAGAGCCTGTGTAGGCAGTAAGGATATGCATTGATGGTGGAGAAGATAAAAACAATACCGAAGCCAACTGCAGGATGGTTTGCTTTTAATTATCATCATGTGTCAGAAAATTCTAAACAATGTTAATGAAAAAGTACTCCTTTCCAAACAAAAGCTTTGTTTAGTCTTAGTTCTAAGCAATGGCTGCAATTACTGTTGATTTTTTTTTCTTTTTTCTTTTCTTTTTTTTTTTTTTCCAAACAGGGTCTTGCTGTCTCGCCCAAGCCGGAGTGCCGTGGCACACCCTAGGCTCGCTGTAACCTCTGCCTCCTGGGCTCAAGCGATCCTCCCACCTCATCTTCCAGGGTACCTGCGACCACAGGCTCCTGCACCACGCCCGGCTAATTTTTTATTACTATTACTATCATTATTTTTGTAGCGATGACATCTCCCTATGTTGCCCAGGCTGGTCTTGAACCCCTGAGCTCAAGTGATCCTCCCACCTGGGCCTCCCACAGTGCTCGAATTACAGGCGTGAACCACCACACCAGGCCCTCTCACTTCTTTTTAACAGTTTCTCTTTGTCAGTGATTTTTTTTTTTTTTTTAGAGGAGTGTCGCTCTGTCGCCCAGGCTGCAGTGCAGTGGCGCCATCTCGGCTCACTGCAAGCTCTGCCTCCCGGGTTCACGCCATTCTCCTGCCTCAGCCTCCTGAGTAGCTGGGACTACAGGCGTCCACCACCACGCTTGGCTAATTTTTTTTGTATTTCTTTAGTAGAGACCGGGTTTCACCAAGTTAGCCAGGATAATCTCGATCTCCTGACCTCGTGATCTGCCCGCCTCAGCCCCCCAAAGTGCTGGGATTACAGGCGTGAGCCACCGCACCCAGCCTGTTAGTGATTTTTAGCCATTTATTTTGTGCCCTATCTTTGTTTTCTTTGTATTTATCTGTCTTGGATATCATTGAGTTTCTCTGATTTGTGGGTAGATGTCTTGCATCAGTTTTGAGAAATTCTCAATCATTATCTCTTCAGATATGGTTTTTGCTGCATTCTCTATGCCTGTTCTCCGAGACACCAATTACATATGTAAGATTATTATTATTATTATTGAGACAGAGTTTCACTCTTTTTGCTCAAGCTGGAGTGCAGTGGCGCAATCTCGTCTCACTGCAACCTCTGCCTCTGCCTCCCGGGTTCAAGCGATAATCCTGCCTCAGCAGTATTATCTACTGAGGTAGATAATACTATTATAATAGTATTATTATCGAGTAGCCAGAATTACAAGCGCCCACCACCACGCCCGGCTAATTTTTGTATTTTTAGTAGAGATAGGGTTTCACCATGTTGGTCAGGCCGGTCTTCAACTCCTGACCTCCGGTGATCCACCTGCCTCAGCCTCCCAAAGTGCTGGGATTACAGGCATGAGCCACGGCACCCAGCCCATATGTAAGATTATTTGATCTTGTTCACCGTGTCTTTTACACTTTGTGATGTCAATTTTTTTTTCAATTATTCAGTTTGAAGGTTTTCTGTTTTTCAGGTTATTGAGTCTATCTTCTATAATCTCCAATCTGCTGTTAAATCTATACATTGAGTTCTTAATTTTAAATATTAGATTTTCAGGTTTTGTTTTTTTTTGTTGTTGTTGTTTGTTTTTTTTTTTTGAGGCCAAGCTTCGCCCTTGTTGCCCAGGCTGGAGTACAATGGCGCAATCTCGGCTCACTGCAACCTCTGCCTCCCAGGTTCAAGTGATTCTGCCTCAGCCTCCCAAGTAGCTGGTATTACAGGTGACCGCCACCACACCCAGCTAATTTTTGTATTTTTAGAAGAGATAGAGTTTCACCATGTTGGCCAGGCTGGTCTCAAACCCCTGACCTCGTGATCCACCCATCTCAGCCTTCCAAAGTGCTGGGATTACAGGCGTGAGCCACTGCATCTGGCCTGTTGTTACCATCCTTATATCCACGAATACTCATTATTTAGCTTCTACTTATAACTGAGAGCATGTAGCATTTGGATTTTTGTTCCTGCATTATTTCACTTAGGATAACAGCCTCAAGCTACATTCATATTTCAGCAAAAGACATGACTTCATACTTTTTATGGCTGTGAAGTATTCCATAGCGTGTTTGTACATTTTCTTTATCCAGTCCACCATCGATGGGCACCGAGGTTGACTCCATGTCATTGCTATTGTGAACAGTGCTGCAATGAACATACAAATGCATGTGTTTTTTTGGTAGGATAATTTATTTTCTTTTGGATGTATACCCAGTAATGGGATTGCTGGATCAAATGGTAGTTCTGTTTTAAGTTATTTAAGAAATCTCCAGGCCGGGCACAGTGGATCACGCCTGTAATCCCAGCACTTTGGGAGGCCGAGTGGAGCAGATCACCTTAGGTCAGGAGTTTGAGACCAGCCTGGCCAACATGGTGAAACCCTGTCTCTACTAAAAACACAAAAATTAGCTGGGTGTGGTGGTGGGTGACCGTAATCCCAGCTACTCTGGAGGCTGAGGCAGGAGAATTGCCTGACCCTGGGAGGCAGAAGTTGCAGTGAGCCGAGATCGTACCACTGCACTCCAGCATGCGTGACAGAGCAAGACTCTGTCTTGAAGAAAAAAAAAAGAAAAGAAATCTCCAAACTGCTTTCCACAGTAACTGAACTAATTTACATTTTCACCAACAGAGTATAAGTGTTCCCATTTCTCTGCAGCCTCAACAGCATGTTATTTTTTGGCTTTTTAATAATAGCTATTCCGACTGGTGTGAGATGGTATCTAATTGTGATTTTCATTTGCTTTTCTCTGATGATTAGTGATGTTGAGCATTTTTTTATATGTTTGTGGGCCACTTGTATGTCTTCTTTTGAGAAGTTCCTATTTATGTGTTTTGCCCATTTTATTTTATTTATTTATTTATATATTTATTTATTTACATGGAGTCTTACTGTATTGCCCAGGCTGGAGTGCAATGGCACAATCTTGGCTCACTGCACCCTCTATGTCCTGGGTTCAAGCAATTCTCCTGCCTAAGCCTCCCAAGTAGCTGGGATTACAGGCGCACACCACCACGCCTGGCTACTTTTTGTATTTTTAATAGAGTTGGGGTTTCACCATGTTGGACAGGCTGGTCTTGAACTCCCAACCTCGTAATCTGCCCTCCTTGGGCTCCAAAAGTTCTGGGATTACAGGTGTGAGCCGCCTCTCCCAGCCATTTGCCCATTTTTAATGGGGATATTTGTTTCTTGTTTGTTCAGTTAAGTTCCTTATAGATTCTGATATTGAACCTTTGTTGGATGCATAAATTATGAATATTTTCTCCCATTGTAAGTTGTCTGTTTACTCTGTTGATAGGTTCTTTTGCTGTGCAGAAGTTCTTTGCTTTAATTAGGTCCCATTTGTCAAGTTTTGGTTTTGTTGCAATTGCTTTTGAGGATTTAGTCATAAATTATTTCCCAAAGCCAATGTCCAGAATGGTGTTTCCCAGGATTTCTTCTACGATTCTTATAGCTTGAAGGGTTACATTTAAATTCTCAATTTGTTTTGAGTTAATTTTAATATACGGTGAAAAGTGGGGCTCCAGTTTTATTCTTTTGCATATAGCTAGCCAACTATCTTAGCACAATTTATTGAATACAGTGTTCTTTCCCCTTTGCTTGTTATTATCAACCTTGCCAAAGATCAGATGACCATAGGTGTTGTTTTTTTTTTAACCAATACCATGCTGTTTTGGTTACTGTAGCCTTGTAGTATAGCTTGAAGTCCAGTAATGTGATGCCTCTGGCTTTATTCTTTCCACTTAGGATTGCTTTCGCTATTCAGAGTCTTTCTGATTCCATGTAGATTTTAGAATAATTTTTTCTAGTTCCTTGAAAAATGACGTTGGTAGTGACAGGTGAAGCCAGCTGGACTTCCTGGGTTGAGTGGGGACTTGGAGAACTTTTCTGTCTTTAAAGAGGATTGTAAAATGCACCAATCGGCACTCTGTAAAAATGCGCCAATCAATGCTTTGTAGCTAGCAAGAGAATTGTAAAATGCACCAATCAGTGCTCTGTAAAACGCACCAATCAGCGCTCTGTAGCTAGCAAGCAGATTGTAAAATGCACCAATCAGCGCTCTGTAAAACGCACCAATCAGCACGCTGTAGCTAGCAAGAGGATTGTAAAATGCACCAATCAGCACTCTGTAAAACACACCAATCAGCATGCTGTAAAATGCACCAATCAGTGTTCTGTAAAATGCACCAATCAGCAGGATCCTAAAAGTAGCCAATTGCAGGGAGGATTGAAAAAAGTGCACTCTGGGCTGGGCGGTGGCTCACTGTATAATCTTAGCACTTTGGGAGGCCGAAGTGGGCGGATCAGAAGGTCAGGAGATCAAGACCATCCTGGCTAACATGGTGAAACCCCATCTCTACTAAAAATACAAAAAATTATTCAGCATCATACTTAATGGGGGCACCATAAAAGTGCTCCCAAACTTGAAGTCAAGAACAAAAGCAGTTTATCCATTTTTACAGCTATTACTTAATATTTTTCTGGATGTGTTAGCCAATATAATTTGACAAGAGGTAGAATATAGAGACAGAGAAATCAGAATGGAGGAAAAATTATTATTTTCAGATCAAAATAACTGTATACTTGGAAAACACAAAGGATTTTATTCAGAAATTACACACCAAATGCTGGTGAGAATGAAAAGCAATAGGAAGGGCCATTCATTGTTGGTGGGAATGCAAAATGGTATACAGCCAGTTTGGAAGAGAGTTGGCAGTTCCTTAGAAAACTAAACATGCTCTTACCACACAATCCAGCAGTCGAGCTCCTTGATATTTATCCAAATGAACTAAAAACTCAGGTCTGCACAAAAGCCTGTACATGAGGCCAGGCGTGGTGGCTCACGCCTGTAATCCCAGCACTTTGGGAGGCTGAGGCAGGCGGATCACAAGGTCAGGAGATTGAGACTATCCTGGCTAACATGGTGAAACCCCATCTCTACTAAAAATACAAAAAATTAGCCGGGCGTGGTGGCAGGTGCCTGTAGTCCCAGCTACTCGGGAGGCTGAGGCAGGAGAATGGCGTGAATCCGGGAGGCGGAGCTTGCAGTGAGCCAAGATCGTGCCACTGCCCTCCAGCCTGGGGGACAGAGTGAGACTCCGTCTCAAAAAAAAAAGAAAGGCACTTTGATAGGACAGAAATGGAACATGGGAGGGCCAATAAGGGAATAAAAGCTGGCCATCCACAGCCAGCAGTGGCAACCCGCTCGGGTCCCCTGCCACGATGTGGAAGCTTTGTTCTTTCACTGTTCAAAATAAATCTTGCTGCTGCTCACTCTTTGGGTCTGTGCCACCTTTAAGAGCTGTCACACGGTGAAGGTCCACGGCTTCATTCTTGAAGTCACCGAGACCACAAACCCACCAGAAGGAACCAACTCTGGACACAGTACCTTGATAGGAATAATGTTTAGGCTGGGTGTGGTGGCTCACACCTCTAATACTAGCACTCTGGGAGGCCAAGGGGGGCGGATCACCTGAGCTCAGGAGTTCGAGATCAGCCTGGGCAAAATGGTAAAGCCCTGTCTCTACTAAAATACAAAAATGAATCAGGTGTGGTGGCAGGCATCTGTAATCCCAGCTACTCAGGAGGCTGAGGCAGGAGAATGGCTTGAACCTGAGAGGCGGAGGTTGCAGTGAGCCTAAATTGCACCATTGCACTCCAGCCTGGGTGACAGAGGACTCTGTCTCCAAAAAATAAATAGATAAATAAATAATGTTGAATCTGTAGATTGCTTTTGGCAGTATACCATTTTAACGATAATGATTTTTCCAATACATGAGCATCGAATGTTTTTCCATTTGCTGGTGTCATCTAAGATTTCTTTTTTCTTTCTTTCTTTTTTTTTTCAGATGGAGTCTCGCTCTGTAGCCCAGGCTGGAGTGCAGTGGTGCAATCTCGGCTCACTGCAAGCTCCACCTCCCAAGTTCATGCCATTCTCCTGCCTCAGTCTCCCGAGTAGCTGGGACTACAGGCGCCCTCCACCACACCCGGCTAATTTTTTTTTTTTTTGTATTTTTAGTAGAGATGGGGTTTCACCACATTAGCCAGGATGGTCTTGATCTCCTGACCTTGTGATCGCCTGCCTCGGCCTCCCAAAGTGCTGGGATTACAGGCTTGAGCCACCGCGCCCGGCCTTTTTTTTTTTTTTTTTGACATGGGCTCTCACTCTGTCACCCAGGCTGGAGTGCAGTGGTGCGATCTTGGCTCACTGCACCCTCCACCTCTTGGGTTCAAGTGATTCTCCTGCCTCAGCCTCCTGAGTAGCTGGGACTACAGGTGTGGGCCACAATGCCTGGCTAATTTCTGTATTTTTAGTAGAGACAGGGTTTCATTATATTGGCCAGGCTGGTCTCAAACTTAGGACCTCAGGTAATCTGCCCACCTCAGCCTCCGAAAGTGCTGGGACTACAGGCATGAGCCACTGCATCTGTTTTTTTTTTTTTTTTTTTTTTTGAGATAGAGTCTCACTCTGTCACCCAGTCTGGAGTGCAATGGCATGATCTCGGCTCACTGCAACCTCCGCCTCCCATGTTCAAGCAATTCTCATGCCTCAGCCTCCTGAATAGTTAGGATTACAGGCACATACCAACACACCCAGCTAATTTTTGTATTTTTAGTAAAGATGGGTTTCACCATATTGGCCAGGGTGGTCTTGAATTTCTGGCCTCAAGTGATCCACCTATCTCGGCCTCATGAATTAACTTTTTGATGTGCTGCTGGATTCAGTTTGCTAGTATTTTGTTGAAGATTATTGCATCCATTTTCATCAGGGATATTGGCCTGTAGTTTTCTTTTCTTTCTTTCTTTTTTTTTTTTTTTTTTTTTTTTTTTTTTTTTAGACAGTCTCACTCTGTCTCCCAGGCTGGAGTGCAGTGCTGCGATCTGGGCTCACTGCAACCTCCACCTCCCAAGTGCGAGCGATTCTCCTGCCTCAGCCTCCCAAGTAGCTGGAACTATAGGCATGCACCACCACACCCGGCTAATTTTTGTATTTTTAGTAGAGATGAGGTTTCACCATGTTGGCCAGGCTGGTCTCGAACTCCTGACCTCAAGGATCCACCTCCCTCAGTTCTCCCAAAGTGCAGGGATTACAAGCGTGAGCCACCATACCCAGCAGTTTTATTTTTTCATTGTTTTTGCCAGGTTTTGGGATCAGGGTGATACTGGCTTCCTAGAATGAGTTAGGGAGGGGTCTCTCCTCAATTTTTTGGGAATAGTTTTAGTAGGTGATGTGGTTTGGCTCTGTGTCCCCACCCAAATCTCATTTTGAATTTTAATCCCCATGTGTCAAGGGAGGGAAGTGATTGGATTATGGGGGCAGTTCCCCCCATGCTGTTCTCCCAATAATGAGTCTCATGAGATCTGATGGTTTTATTTATTTATTTATTTATTTTTATTTCTTTTTGAGATGGAGTCTTGTTCTGTTGCCCAGGGTGGAGTGCAATGGCATGATCTCAGCTCACTGCAACCTGTGCCTCCCAGGTTCAAGCAATTCTCCCGCTTCAGCCTCTCAAGTAGCTGGGATCACAGGCATGCATCACCACGTCTGGCTAATTTTTGTACTTTTGTAGAGACAGGGTTTCACCATGTTGGCCAGGCTGGTCTTGAACTTCTGACCTCAGGTGATCCACCCACCTCAGCCTCCCAAAGTGCTGGGATGATAGGCATGAACCACTGTGCCCAGCCTGATCTGATTTCTGGTTTTAAAAGTGGCAGTTTCTCCTATGCTTGCATTCATTCTCTCTCTCCTGCCACCATGTAAGATGTGTCTGCTTCTCCTTCTGCTATAAGTTTCCTAAGGCTTCCCCAGCCTTGCAGAACTGTGAGTCAATTAAACCTCTTTTCTTTATAAATTACCCAGTCTTGGGTATGCCTTTATAGCAGTGTGAGAACGGACTAATACAGGAGGATTAGTCTTAGTCTTTGTACATGTAGTAGAATTCAGCTGTGAATCCATCTGATCAGGGGCTTTTCTTGGTTGGTAGACTCCTTTTAATGATTCAGAATCATAACTTGATATTGGTCTGTTCAGGGTTTCAATTTCTTCCTGCTTCAAAATTGGCAGATTGTGTGTTTCCAGGAATTTATCCATTTCCTTCAGATTTTCAAGTTTGTGTCCATAGAGGTGTTCATCTTGAGGATCTTTTTTAAATCACTGTGGACTTGTTGTAATGTCATTTCTGATTGTGCTTATTTGGATATTCTGTCTTTTTTTTCTTCGTTTTTTAAATTTTTTTATTATTATTATTTTTATTATTTATTTATTTATTTATTTTAGATACAGTCTCACTCTGCTGCCCACGCTGAAGAGCAGTGGTGCAATCTTGGCTCACCACAACCTCCACCTCCCAGGTTCAAGTGATTCTCCTGCCTCAGCCTCCCAAGTGGCTGGGATTACAGGCGTGCGCCACCACACCCAGCTAATTTTTGTATTTTTAGTAGAGACGGGGTTTCACCATGTTGGCCAGGCTGGTCTCGAACCCCTGACCTCAAGTGATCCACTTGCCTCGGCCTCCCAAAGTGCTGGGGTTACAGGCATGAGCCACCACACCCAGCCTCTTTTTTTCTTTGTTAATCTAGCTAGTGGCCTATCGATCTTGTTTATCCTCTCAGAAAACCAACTTTTGGTTTCATTGATTTTTTGTATGGATGTTTGTGTCCCAATTTCATTCAGTTCTGCTCTGATTTTAATTATTTCTTTTCTCCTGCTAGCTTTGGGGCCATTGTGTTGCGGGAAGTCAGGGACCCCAAACGGAGGGACCCGCTGAAGCCATGGCAGAAGAACGTGGATTGTGAAGATTTCATGGACATTTATTAGTTTCCCAAATTAATACTTTTATAATTTCTTATGCCTGTCTTTACTGCAATCTCTGAAGATTTCATGGACACTTATCACTTCCCCAATCAATACCCTTATGATTTCCTATGCCTGTCTTTACTTTAATCTGTTAATCCTGTCAGCTCGTAAACCAAGGAGGATGTATGTCGCCTCAGGACCCTGTGATAATTGCGTTAACTGCACAAATTGTAGAACATGTGTGTTTGAACAATATGAAATCTGGGCACCTTGAAAAAAGAACAGGATAACAGCAATTGTTCAGGGAATAACAGCGATAACCTTAAACTCTGACCACCGGTGAGACGGGCGGAAAAGAGCCATATTTCTCTTCTTTCAAAAGCAAATGGGAGAAATATTGCTGAATTCTTTTTCTCAGCAAGGAACATCCCTGAGAAAGAGAATGCACCCCTGAGGGTGGGTCTATAAATGGCCCCCTTGGGTGTGGCCATCTTCTGTGGTCGAGACTGTAGGGATGAAATAAACCCCAGTCTCCCATAGCACTCCCAGGCTTATTAGGAAGAGGAAATTCCCCCCTAATAAATTTGGTCAGACCGGTTGATCTCAAAACCCTGTCTCCTGATAAGATGTTATCAATGACAATGGTGCCCGAAACTTCATTAGCAATTTTAATTTCACCCCAGTCCTGTGGTCATGTGATCTCGCCCTGCCTCCATTTGCCTTGTGATATTCTATTACCTCATGAAAGACGTGATCTGTGACCCACACCTATTCGCACACTCCCTCCCCTTTTGAAACTCCCTAATAAAAACTTGCTGGTTTTGCAGCTTGTGGGGCATCGTGGAACCTACCGACATGTGATGTCTCCCCCAGATGCCCGGCTTTAAAATTTCTCTCTTTGTACTCTGTCCCTTTATTTCTCAAACCAGCGGATGTTTAGGGAAAATAGAAAAGAACTTACGTGACTATCAGGGCAGGTTCCCCAATAATTGCAGTTCCTCTAGGTGGGATGTTACCTCATTAATTTGAGATCTTTCTAACTTTTTGAGGTAGGTGTTTAGCACCATAAACTTTTCTCTTAACACTGCTTTTGCTGTATCCCAGAGATTTCCGTATGTTATGTCTCTGTTTTCATTTATTTCAAAGATTTTTTTACTTCTGCCTTAATTGCACTATTTACCCAAAAGTCTTTTAGGAGCAAGTTGTTTAATTTCCATGTAACTGTGTGGTTTAAAGAGATCTTCTTGGTATTGATTTCCATTTTTATTCTACCGAGGTCTGAGAATATGGTTGCTATGATTTAGGTTTTTTTAAATTTATCGAAACTTGCTTTATGGCCAGGCATGTGGTGGAATGTGTTCTATGTGCAGATGAGAAAAATGTATATTCCTGTGGTTGATGGGTGGAGTATTCTGTAGATGTCTATTAGGTCCAATTGGTCAAGTGTTGAATTTAAGTCCAGAATTTTTGTCAGCTTTCTTTCTTCTTTCTCCCTTCCTTCCTTCCTTCCTCTTTCTTTTCTTTCCTTCCTTCCTTTTTCTTTTTCTTTTGTCTGAGACAGAGTCTCGCTCTTTCATCCAGGCTGGAGTGCAGTAGCGCAATCTTAGCTCACTGCAACCTCTACCTCCCAGCTCAAGCGATTCTCCTGCCTCAGCCTCCTGAGTAGCTGGGAACACAGGCGTGCACCACCATGCCCACCTAATTTTTGTATTTTACAAAACAGAGATAGGGTTTCACCATGTTGGCCAGACTGGTCTCGAACTCCTGGCCTCAAGTGATCTGCCCACCTCAGCCTCCCAAAGTGCTGGGATTACAGGCATGAGCCACTGTGCCCAGCCTATTTTTGTCAGTTTTCTGCCTCAATGATCGGTCTAGCAGTGTCAGTCAGGTGTTGAAGTACCCTACTATTATTGTGTGGCTTTCAAAGTCTTTTCATAGGTCTAGAAGGACTCATAAATCTGGGTGATCCAATATTGGGTATAAATATATTTAGGATATTTGTCTTCTTATTGAATTGAATTCTTTATCACTGCATAATGCCTTTCTTTGTCCATTTTTATTGTTGTTGGTTTAAAGTCTGCTTTATCTGATTAAGAATAGTGACCCTGCTCTTTCTTGTGTTCTGTTTGTGGCTAGATCTCTCTCCAATGCTTTACTCTGAGCATATGGGTGTCACTACATGTGAGATGGGTCTCTTGAAGACAGTAGATGGATAGGTAGTGTTTTTTTTAATCCAACTTGACACCCTGTGCCTTTTAAGTGGGGCATTCGGACTATTTACGTTCAAGGTTAATATGGATGTATGGAGGCCAGGCATGGTGGATCATGCCTGTAATTCCAGCACTTTGGGAGGTTGAGGTGGGTGAATCACTTGAGCTCAGGAGTTCAAGACTGGCCTGAGCAACATGGCAAAACCCTGTCTCTACAAACATACAAAAATTAGCCAGGCATGGTGATGCATGCCTGTAGTCCCAGCTACCTGGGAGGCTGCCCGGGAGGCTAAGCTACCCAGGAGGCTGAGGTGAGAATCACCTGAGCCTGGGGAGGTTTAGGCTGCAGTGAGCCATGATCATCACATCATAGCATTGTAACCTGGGCAACAGAGTAAGACCCTGTCTCAAAAATATACATTTTATAATTATTTTAATGCTGGTAGAATTTTTTCTTTTTTTCCCTATAATTTTTTTTTGAGTCTCTGTGGCCCAGGCTGGAGTGCAGTGGTGTGACCTCAGCTCACTGCAACCTCCGCCTCCTGGGTTCAAGCGATTCTCCTGCCTCAGCCTCCCGACTAGCTGGAATTACAGGCACATACCGCCATGCCCAGCTAATTTTTGTATTTTTAGTAGATACAGGGTTTCACCAGGTTGGCCAGGCTGATCTCCAACCCCTGACCTCAAGTGATCTACCTGCCTCGGCCTCTCAGAGTGCTGGGATTACAGGTGTGAGCCACTGCACCCGGACTCCTATAATTTTTTTTTTGTCTTTTTTCCCTTTCATCTCCCCCATAGGGGGTGTGACTGTAGAGAATGCTGGGTAAGCTGGTGTGGTGGCTCATGCCTGTAATCCTAGCACTTTGGGAGGCCAAGGTGGCCAGATCACTTGAGGTCAGGAGTTCAAGACCAACCTGGCCAACATGGTTGAAATCACATCTCTACCAAAAATACAAAAATTAGCTGGGCGTGGTGGCGTACGCCTATTTTCCCAGCTACTCAGGAGACTGAGGTGGGAGAATCACTTGAATCCAGGAGTCAGAGATTGCAGTGAGCCGAGATTGCACCACTGCACTCCCACCTGGGCGACAGAGCGAGACTCCGTCTCAAAAAAAAAAAAAGTGCTGTTTTGGGCTGGGCACAGTGGCTCATGCCTTCAATCCAAGCATTTTATGAGGCCTAAGCAGGGGGATTGCTTGAGGCCAGGAGTTGGAGACCAGCCCAGGAAACATAGAGAGACCCTCCCAATCCCCCAAATCTAAAACATATTTTAAAAATTAGACCAGGCGCAATGGCTCACGCCTGTAATCCCAGAACTTTGGGAGGCTAAGGCGGGCGAATCATGAATTCAGGAGTTCGAGACCAGCCTGGCCAACATGGTGAAACCCAGTCTCTACTGAAAATACAAAAAATTAGCTGGGCGTGGTGGCAGGCGCCTGTAATCTCAGCGACTCAGGAGGCTGAGGCGGGAGAATCACTTGAACCTGGAAGGCGGAGGTTGCAGTGAGCCGTGATCACGCCATTACACTCCAGCCTGGGTGAGAGAGCAAGACTCCGTCTGGGAAAAAAAAAAAATTAGCTGGATGTGGTTGGGTGTACCTGTAGTCCTAGCTATCTGGGAAGCTGATGCAGGAGGATCGCCTGAGACTAGGAGTTGGAGACGAAGTGAGCTAGGACTGTGCCACTACACTCCGGCCTGGGTGACAGAACAAAACCCTGTCTCAAATTTAAAAAGAAAGAAAGAAAGAGAAAGAAAGAAAGAGATAAAGAAGAAAGAAAGGAAGGAAGGAAGGAAGGAAGGAAGGAACTATTTTACCTTCTCTTCAGTGTGAAATACTCTACACTATAAAAAAGATATCCATGCATAGCTATTTAAACTTAAAAATAAGGCGATTGGCTGGACGCGCTGGCTCACGCCTGTAATCCCAGCACTTTGGAAGGCCCAGGCGGGCGGATCACGAGGTCAGGAGATCAAGACCATCTGGCTAACAAGGTGAAACCCCATCTCTACTGAAAAAAACACAAAAAATTAGCCGGGCGTGTTGGCGGGCACCTGTAGTCCCAGCTACTCGGGAGGCTGAGGCAGGAGAATGGCGTGAACCCGGGAGGCGGAGCTTGCAATGAGCCAAGATCATGCCACTGCACTCCAGCCTGGGCGACAGAGCGAGACTCCCTCTCAAAAAAAAAAAAATAAAATAAAATAAATAAGGCGATGGCTGACGCCTGTAATCGCAACACTTTGGAAGGTGGGGGTGGGCGGATGGCTTGAGCCCAGGAGTTCGAGACCACTGTGGGCAACATGATGAAACTTTGTCTCTACAAAAAATACAAAAATTAGCCAGGCACACACCTGTAAGTCCCAGCTACTAGGGAGGCTGAAGTGGAAGGCTTGCTTGAGCCTGGGAAGTTGAGGCCATGGCACTCCAGCGTGGGTGACAGAACGAGACCCTGTCTCAAATAAAGTAAAATAAAAATAAACTTAATAAAATTAATTTAACTTATTAATCAATTAACAAGTTGATAAAATTAATAAAATTCAGTTCTCCAGTTGCACTAGTGACATTTTAGATGCTTAATAGCTAACTACGTGGGGTTGAAGATTTCACCATAATGGAGGGTGAAGATACAGATATTTCCATCATTGCAGAAAGTTCTATTGGAAAATGCTACTCTTTGAAAACTTTTAGAGAAAGTATCATGAGAACAACCTTCTCTCCATGCTTACATATTTGGAAAATGTTTGTGGCCTGCCTGCCTTTGTATGTGAACAATGATTTTCCTGGGTACAGAATTCTAGAATGACACTACATTTTATTTTATTTATATAAAATATTAAATATTATAAAGGCATTAACATAATCATTTAGTATTCAACATTGTTATAAACAATTCTGAAGCCAACTTTTAAAAAACTAACTGATATATATTCTAGATACATATTGGTCAATATTGGTATATATCAATACATCAACTCATATTGGTATATATTCTGGATACAAATACTTTTTTTTTTTTTTGAGACGGAGTCTCGCTGTCGCCCAGGCTGGAGTGCAGTGGCGCGATCTCGGCTCACTGCAGGCTACACCCCCCGGGGTTCCTGCCATTCTCCTGCCTTAGCCTCCCGAGTAGCTGGGACTACAGGCGCCTGCCACCTCGCCCGGCTAATTTTTTGCATTTTTAGTAGAGACGGGGTTTCACCGTGTTAGCCAGGATGGTCTCGATGCTGGATACAAACACTTTATCATATGTATGAGTTGCAAATATTTTTTCCCTTTCTGTGTTTTTTTATTTTTATTTATGTATTTATTTATTTTGAGATGGAGTCTCACTCTACCACCCAGGCTGGAGTGAGTGGCATGATCTCGGCTCACTGCAACCTCCACCTCCCGGGTTCAAGCAATTCTCGTGCTTCAGCCTCCCAAGTAGCTGGGATTATAGGTGTGTGCCACCATGCCTGGCTAATTTTTGTATTTTAGTAGAGATGGTGTTTCACCATGTTGGCCAGGCTGTCTCAAACTCCTGACCTCAAGTGATCCGCCCGCCTCGGCCTCCCAAAGTGCTGGGATTACAGGCGTGAGCCACCGCGCCCCACACCTCACTTTCTTAATGATATTATCTGCAGCATAAGACTTTTACATTTTGTCCAGTCCAATTTATCTATTTTTTTCTTTTGTCCCTTGTGCTTTCGGTCTCATGTCTAAGTAATGATTGCCTCACTGGAGGTCATGAAGGTTTACTCCTATGATTTATTCTAAGTGTTTTCTAATTTTGTCTCTTACAAGTACACCTGTGATGCATTTGGAATGTTTGTAGATGGTATAAGGAAGGGTCCAAGTTCATTCTTTTGCATATGAATATTCGGTTGTCCCAGCACCATTTGTTGAAAACACTTTTGTTTCTTTCTTTCTTTTTTTTTTTTTTTTTTTGAGACAGAGTCTTGCTCTGTTGCCCAGGCTGGAGCGCAATGGCACAATCTCCACTCACTGCAACCTCCGCCTCCCAGGTTCAAGCGATTCTCCTGCCTCAGCCTCCTGCGTAGCTGGGATCACAGGCACCCGCCACCACTCCCGGCTAATTTTTATATTTTTAGTAGAGACGGATTTTCGCCATGTTGGCCAGACTGGTCTCAAACTCCTGACCTCAGGTGATCTGCCCACCTCGGCCTCCCAAAGTGCTGGGATTACAAGCGTGAGCCATCGCACCTGGCCTATATGTCTATTTTTATGTTAGTACCACACTCTTGATTATTGTAGCTTTTTGTTTATTGATCTTGTGTCCTCAAACCTCGCTGAAATCATTTATTAGTTGTAATATTTTTGTATGTGCGTGGATTCCTTAGGATTTTCTTTACTTATATATATATATATTTTTAGGTAGAGTCCTGCTCTGTCACCCAGGCTGGAGTGCAGCGTGGGACTGTGGATTGTGGCTTACTGCAGCCTCAACTTCCGGGTCTTAAGAGATCCTCCCACCTCAGCCTTCTGAGTAGCGGGGACTACAGACGTGCACCACTACACCTGGCTTGCTCCTTCATTCATTCTTTCATTCATTCAGTAGAGATGGGGTCTCCCTATGTTGCCCAGGCTGGTCTTGAACTCCTGGGTTCAAATGATTCTCCCACCTCAGCCTCCCAAAGTGCTGGGATTTACAAGCATGAGCCACTGTGCCCAGCCATGATTTTCTTCATACAAGGTCATGCCGTCTGTTAATTGACAAAGTTTTATTTCTTTCTCTTCAATATGGATATTTTTTATTTCTTTTTCTTACATAATTACCCTGTCTAGGGCTGGGTGTGGTGGCTCATGCCTGTAATCCCAACACTGGCTCACGCCTGTAATCCCAACACTTTGGGAGGCTGAGGCGGGTGGATCACCTGAGGTCAGGAGTTCGAGACCAGCCTGGCCAACATGGCAAAAACCCGTCTCTACTAAAAATACCAAAATTAGCTAGGTGTGGTGGCAGACGCCTGTAATCTCAGCTACTTGGGAGACTGAGGCAGGAGAATTGCTTGAACCTGGAAGGCGGAGGCTGCAGTCAGCCAAGATTGTGCCACTGCAATCCAGCCTGGGTGACAGAGCAAAACTCTGTCGAAAAAAAAAAAAAGGCTAGGTGCAGTGGCTCACGCCTGTAATCCCAGCACTTTGGGAGGCTGAGGCAGATGGATCACGAGGTCAGGAGTTCGATACCATCCTGGCTAACACGGTGAAACCTTGTTTCCACTAAAAATACAAAAAAATTAGGCAGGCGTGGTGGCACGTGACTGTAATCCCAGCTACTCAGGAGGCTGAGGCAGGAGAATCACTTGAACCTGGGAGGTGGAGGTTCCAGTAAGCTGAGATCACGCCACCGCACTCCAGCCTGGGCGACAGAGCGAGACTCCATGTCAAAAAAAAAAGAGAGAGAGAGAATAAGCACCACTGATCCTCCTGAGTGCTTCTGGGAGTCATATCACAGGGGAAGAAAGTACACAGGAACCAGGAAGCGAACCTACCTCTTCTTATGCCTTACAGGGCAAAGAATAATAGATTTCGAGCTGAGGGGTAACAGATTGTGCATGGGGCACACCCTCTACATTTCATGTTGTCTTATGAGCCCCAAGTTCTGTCTCAGGACCCTTCAAGCCAATAATGCTTTCACTTTTTGCCACCTGAATTGTGTGTGGGTTGAGGAACAGACTCAGTATAAAACTCATAAATCTCACCAGGATCACTTCTGTCTTTGAGGTAGGATCCCGGGTGCCCCCACCCCTGGCCCCCACTCAGTTCCTCCTTGCCATTTTGTAGGGGTCCCTGGAGCTCCTGTGTACATTTTGTAGTATGGCCAGCCAGCCAGGAATTTAGGCAGAGTTTATACTCAGATTTTGAATCCAACCCAACTGTGACTTTCTCATTTCTAGAATTGATCCTTTAAGTTTCTAGCTGCTCCACTGTTTTGAACTCCTTCATCTGCCATGTCCATCTGGTAAGGCTGTGGTATTCTGCATGGCAAGTTGAGAGGGTTCAGAAAGCTACAAAGTTGCTGTTCTTATCTGACATGATAACAGTCTTTTTAAGAGTTAACTCTTCTCTTGACCGGGCATGTTAGCTCACGCCTGTAATCTCTGCATTTTGGGAGGCAGAGGCGGGAGGATCCCCTGAGGTCAGGAGTTCGACACCAGCCTGGCCAACATGGTGAAACCCCATCTCTACTAAAAATACAAAAATTAGCTGGGTGGTGGTGGGCACCTGTAGTCCCAGCTACTCGTGAGGCTGAGGCAGGAGAATCGCTTGAACCCAGGAGGTGGAGGTTGCAGTGAGCCGAGATCACGCCATTGCACTCCAGCCTGGGTGACAAGAGTGAAACTCAAAAAAAAATAAAATAAAATAAAATAAATAAATAAATAAATAACATTATCTTAAAATAAAGTTAAAAATAATAACGAATATGTTTTGAGGGATTTCTATTTACAGACACTGTGCTAAGCACCTTAAGTGAATGAGCAGAGGTTTAATAGGCAAAAGAAAGAGAAAATAAAACAGCTCTCTCTCTAGTGAGAGAGAGGGGACTTAACGAGAGGAAAAGTCTGGCCAGCAGCAGATGTGCTGGATTTTATAGTCTGGCTTGAGGAGGGGGTGTCTGATTTACATGGGGCTCACAGATTGGTTCAATTAGGTATGATATTTACACAATGTGCGGGGAAGGCTGGCCGCCCCACCCTAATCTCATTATGCAAGCGAACTGTCCCCTTGGCCAGTGCCATCTTGTCTGCTCCTTACTGTACACGTGGCTGGCAGAGAAGGGAAGAGGGAGCCGCCATCTCGAACATGATTGGCACAACTGCTGGCATGTATGTCTGCAGCTCAATTTTACAGGCTGTTCTTTGTTAGAAAGGAAAATGATTTGGGGCTGTTTTTCACTAAAAGGAAAACCTTACTGAAGACTTCCATACCCTCACTATCTGCCTAAGTAATTTCTTCTTAACTCCTGTATCATTCCCCCGCTCTGGAGTGGTGTAACCCTAACTATTGTTAGCGGGTGTTGGATAAAGACTCTTTCCGGCTGCTTCTTGCTGAAAAGGGGCACTGCGTGGGGAACAGCAGCTAGGGCTCCTCCTGGGGCCAATCTAAGGGTCCTCGGAAGAAAGGCGTGTCCATGCGTGGTTCTGTCTGAAGCAGCGTTTGGAGTTTGACTGCTGTCAGCCACTCTGATGGGTTCTAACACTGGCTTGCCTCCACCAGATGTTGCTGAAATGTTAATATAAAAGCAACATTCCTTTTTCTTTTTCTTTTTTTTTTTTTTTTTTGAGATGGAGTTTTGCTCTGTTGCCTGGGCTGGTGTGTAGTGGTGCAATCTCAGCTCACTGCAACCTCCACCTCCCAGGTTCAAGCAATTCTCCTGCCTCAGCCTCCCAAGTAGCTGGGATTATGGGCACATGCCACCATGCCCAGGTAATTTTTAAATTTTTAGTAGAGATGGGGTTTCACCATGCTGGCCAGGATGGTCTCAAAATCCTGACCTCAAGTGATCTGCCCACCTTGGCCTCCCAAAGTGTTGGGGTTACAGGCGTGAGCCACTGTGCCTGGCCAAAAAGTAAAAATAACAAAATAAAAGTAACATTCCTTTTAGGATAAGTGGCACTGGATTTGGGTGGCTAGGGTAACTTTAGTGTTAACTTTGGCTAAATCTTTCCTGCATAATTCCTAAATTATGAATCCCTTCATGACTTCCACAGACCATCTAAGACATGCTTAAACTTTCCGACTTGTCTTGAACATCCTTTTTTTTAAACAACGAGGCCAGGTGTAGTGGCTCACACCTATAATCCTAGCACTTTGGGAGGCTGAGGCGGGTGTATTACTTGAGATCAGGAGTTCAAGACCAGCCTGGCCAATATGGTGAAACCCTATTTCTACTAAAAAAAAAAAAAAAAAAAAATTAGCTGGGCATGGTGGCACACGCCTGTAATCCCAGCTACTTGGGAGGCTGAGGCAGCAGAATCGCCTGAACCTGGGAGGTGGAGGTTGCAGTGAGCTGAGATTGTGCCAGTGCACTTAAGCCTGGGCAACATAGCAAGACTCTGTCTCAAAAAACAAAACAAAACAAAAACAACCAACTATTCTTTTTAGGACGAGTATTTACCATACAAGGTCCTTTCTTACATAAAATCTCTTTCTTTTATAACCTTCTTTGCATAGCCAGGGTGTGACATATTACCAAACCCAATAAGAAGTTCTAGCAGACTCAGTGATAGTAAAATTTTCATGCTTCCTTTTTGTTGGTAACTATTATCCCTGCTATAGGTATAATAATTGAGCAAAACATGGCTGGGCATGGTGGCTCACACCTGTAATCCCAGCACTTTGGGAGGCCAAGGTGGGCAGATCACTTGAGGTCAGGAGTTTGAGACCAGCCTGGCCAACATGGTAAAACCTCGTCTCTACTAAAAATACAAAAATTAGCCAGGCGTGGTGGCAGGTGCCTGTGATCCCAGCTACTCAGGAGGCTGAGGCAGGAGAATCACTTGAACCTGGGAGACAGAGGTTGCAGTGAGCCAAGATTGTGCCACTGCACTCCAGCCTGGGCAACAGAGCAAGACAACGTCTCAAAAAAAAAATTCAATTAGAAAGTGCTACTGTTATATAGCTCTACTACAAATAGTAGAGTGAGAATAGCAATTCCTGCAAGGGTGGCATAGTAGATTATTTCCATCTAAAATTTTACTTGCCAAGATATAAAAATTTTCCCCTGGGGGTTATGAAGTTACTTGGTTTTATTTTCCAAAACAAAGAAACCTCCAGGTTATGGAGACCCTACTCACTTTCATTACCTGGCAGAATTTGCAGGATAATTGTCCGGAACTAGTATATTGATCCAGATTTTTACTACCCATCCCTTTTTGTTTCTTCCAGGCTGCAGGAGATCACCCCTTGATTCACAGGAATAAGCAGCGTTCATCCAAAATGTTGGCAAAAAGTTTACAAACAGTCCAGACGCCGTGGCTCACATCTGTAATCCCAGCGCTTTGGGAGGCCGAGGTAGGAGGATAACTTGAGGTCAGGAGTTCCACACCAACCTGGTCAATGTGGTGAAACCCCGTCTCTACTAAAAAACAGTTAGCTGGGCATGGTGGCAGGTGCCTGTAATCCCAGCTACTCGGGAGGCTGAGGCAGGAGAATCACTTGAACCCGGAAGGCGGAGGTTGCAGTGAGCCGAGATTGTGCCCCTGCAGTCCAGCCTGGGTGACAGCGTGAGACTGACAGAGCCAAAAATCCTTTAAAGACTCTAGTCCTTAAAATATTTTGTCTTCGAAAAAATGCTCATGGCCTTGTGGAACATTTAATGGGGCTAATGTCGTGACCCCAAGAACTCATGTAAGCATCACAGGACATGGACTGTATAATTTAGCCATACTGAACTGGATTTTTTTGTTGTCGTTAGAGACAGGCATCTCAATTTGTTGCTTACATTGGTCTCTAACTCTTGGGTGTAAGCAATCCTCCCTTCCTGCCTCGGCCTCCCAAGTAGCTGGGATTACAGGTGTGAACCACAATGCCCAGCTCTAAATTGGAACTGTATTGTATCTTTTTTTTTTTTTGAGACGGAGTCTCGCCCTGTTGCCCAGGCTGGAGTGCAGCGGTGTGATCTCAGCTTACTGCAAGCTCTGCTTCCCAGGTTCACACCATTCTCCTGCCTCAGCCTCCTGAGTAGCTGGGACTACAGGCGCCCGCCACCACGCCCAACTAATATTTTTGTATTTTTAGTAGAGACAGGGTTTCACCGTGTTAGTCAGGATGGTCTCGATCTCCTGACCTTGTGATCATCCTGCCTCGGCCTCCCAAAGTGCTGGTATTACAGGTGTGAGCCACTGCGCCCGGCCTGTATTGTATCTTATTTATTTTTTCTTTCTTTTTTAAACTGGAATCTTAGAGGTAAAGACACCTGACTTAACTTCTGGGACTAAGACTGGAGGCACAGTCTGCCATAGGCAAAATTTTATGGCACAATAAACCTGTGACATCCTGATACCATCATAAATTCCCAAATAGCCCTAAATAACATAATGTTCCCCCCCAAAAAATCACTAAAGTTCAACTGAAAATTTAAGTTGAACATTAATGGGAATTAGTGCTTAAATGCCAAGAAGAAAGTTTGGATGAAGAGTGACTGGCTAACTTCATTTACTAAGCCAAGTGATCCTCCTTCCTACCCATCAATCTTCTAGGTCACAAAATTAAATTCCTACCTTAGTAAAATTACAAGCAACTACAAATTACTGCTAATAAGCAGTTAAACTACAAATATTAAGAACCAACTTCTATTATGATGCCTGCAATTTACTTTAAAAGATTTTAGCAAAGATGGCGTGCATTGTTTTATTAGAAAATTCAGGCCGGGCGCAGTGGCTCGCGCCTCTAATCCTAACACTTTGGGAGGCCAAGGTGGCTGGGTCACTTGAGGTCAGGAGTTTGAGACCAGCCTGGCCAACATAGTGAAACCCTGTCTCTACCAAAAATACAAAAATTCGCTGGAAATTGCTTGAACCTGGGAGGCAGAGGTTGCAGTGAGCTGAGATTGTGTCACTGCACTCCAGCCTGGGCAACAGAGCGAGACTCTGTCTTAAAAAAAAAAAAAGAAGAAGAAGGCCGGGCACGGTGGCTCACACCTGGAATTCCAGCACTTTGGGAGGCCGAGGCAGGTGGATCATCTGAGGTCAGGAGTTTGAGACCAGCCTGACCAACATGGAGAAACCCCATCTCTACTAAAAGTACAAAATTAGCCGGCATGCCTGTAATCCCAGCTACTCGGGTTCAAGTGAGCCTTGAGGAGGCTGAGGCAGGAGAATTGCCTGAACCTGGGAAGCAGAGGTTGTGGTGAGCCAAGATCACACCATTGCACTCCAGCCTGGGCAACAAGAGCAAAACTCCGTCTCAAAAAAAAAAAAGAAAGAAAGAAAATTCACACATAAGGGTAGCCAGTGTCTAGTCAGAAAGGTTACTTACACACTAGAGGCAGCTACTACTGGCACTTTTTTTTTTTTTTTAAGAGATAGGGTCTTGCTCTGTTGTTCCAGACTGGAGTGCAGTACTGCAAGCATTTCTATTATCTACATCTCAATCAACGCCTGAGGCTCAGTTAACAAGCTGAGTGATGATCAGAAATAGATTTTTTGGCTGGGTGTGGGGGTTCACACCTGTAATCCCAACACTTTGGGAGGCCGAGGCGGGAGGATCACTTGAGCCTAGGAGTTTGAGATCAGCCTGAAACCGCTATTGCAAAATTGTAACTGAGTCAGTGAAAGAGATCCGACCTAACCGACTCCATCTTGCGTCTAACCTCCAAGCTGCCCTTGTTCATTCCTGGGCGTAGGCTGAACTAACTTGGGGGGAAACTTAATTTATAGTTTAAAACAAAGACGGTAACAGCCCTTTCCCAAAGCAGACCTCCTTCTTGCCGGGGGACTAGACTAACATTAGTCACAAGATTAGAAATGATGGTTTAGGAGCCATGCAGCTGGAGGCTACAAGATTCTGACCCTCCCTACACTGCTCCTAAGATCAGCGCTTGAGATACTTTGCAGACTCCACACTTGATGGATCAGCTGGCACCACCCAGATGGATAAACTGGCTCATCTGATCTTGTGGCCCCGACCCAGGAACTGACTCAGCGCAAGAAGACAGCTTCAATTTCCCATGATTTCCTCTCCGGCCCAACCAATCAACACTCTCTCACTGGCCTTCCCCCACCCACCAAATTATCCTTAAAAACACTGATCCCCCAATGCCTGGAGAGACTGATTTGAATAATAATAAAACCGCGATCTCCTGTACAGCCGGCTCTGCGTGAATTACTCTTTCTGTACTGCAGTTCCCCTGTCGTGAGGTATCAGTTCTGCCTAGGCAACGGGCAAGGGGAACCCATTGTGCAGTCACAAGCCTGGGCAACATAGTGAGACCCCATCCGTACAAAAAATAAAAAAAGTAGCCAGCTGTAGTGGCGAGCATCTCTGCTCCCAGTTACTCAGGAAGCTGAACTGGAAGGATTGCTTGAGCCCAGGAGGTCAAAGCTATAGTGAGCCATGATCACACCACTGCCCTCCAGCCTAGGCAGCAGAGCTAGACACTGTCTCGATAAATAAATAAATAAATGGAAAAAGAAATGGCTGTTTCCTGATGAACTGAGTTGCTTGTTAATTGGTAATGAGGTCATCAGTGGGCTCTCATCAGTGAAATGAAAGGTGTTCGGGATCCTTCCATTGGCTAAAGTTATTTGAGAGACTCCTGCTGCCTTTGCATAAACAAGGTGTAAGAATCTAGTGAGGTCAGCAACGCGACCCCTTAGGAATGGCCCTCAGGGCTCCATCGTTACATAATCCTGTGACCAGCCACTAGTTAAGAGGATGTCTGGTTACATGATGCCATCTTTAAGGGTAACAGAATCCTGGCCCCTGGCACGTTTCCCTCTCTGCCTCAAGTGAACTTTTCATGCAAAGTTGTGGACAGAGCATTTGGGACAGAGAGCATGGATTATAGTGAGCTACAGGATAGGCTGAACAAACACTTTTGCTGACAAATGTTTGCTTAAATGAGCTTTCAGGTGTGTGACAAGATTTGGTCTGCGACTTGCTTTCATTATAATCTGGCAGGGGGGTTGTCAGAAGTTAGTTAACCCTCACCACCTCAAACTCCATAGGTAGCTATAACTTTACAGAAACAACCTAAGCATGTCCGGGTGAGGTGGCTCACACCTGTAATCCAAGCACTTTAGAAGGTTGAAGCGGTGGATCACTTGAGGCTAGGGGTTCAAGACCAGCCTGGGTCACATGGTGAAACCCGTCTACAAAAAAACACAAAAATTAGCCGGGTGTGGTGGCTGTAGTCCCTACTTGAGAGGCTGAGGTGTTAGGATCACTTGAGCCTGGGAGGTGGAGTTTACAGTGAGCTGAGATCGCACCACTGCACTCCAGCCCGAGTGACAGTGTGAAACCCTGTCTCAAAAAAAAAAAAAAAAAGGAAAAAAACAACCAAACAAAAATGAGGCATGATCAAACCTGGCTTAGGTTCATTTGCAACAATCTGCAGACCACGTTTTTCTTTATCCCTTTGTCAGAGGTGTTTGAACCGGAGTGACTCCATCTTGAATAAGGACTGGTTAAAATAAGGCTGAGGCCTGGAGGTCAGCACAAGATACAGGTCATAAAGACCCTGCTGATAAAACAAGATGTGTTACCAAGCCAGCCAAAACCCACCAAAACCAAGACGGCAATGAGGTGACCTCTGGTGGTCCTCACTGTTCATTAGACGCTAATTATAATGCATTAGCTGCTGAAGGACACTCCCGCCAGCACCATGACAGTTTACAAATGACATGGCAACGTCAGGAAATTACACTGTATGGTCTAAAAAGGGGAGGAATCCTCAGTTCCGGGAATTGCTCACCCCCTTCCTGGAAAACTCATGAACAATCCACCCCTTGTTTAGCATAACTGTAAGTATATTCAGTCAAGCAGCCCAAGCTGCCGCGCTGCCTATGGAGCAGACGTGCTCTATTCCTTTCTTTTCCTTTTTTTTTGAGACGGAGTTTTGCTCTTGTGGCCCAGGCAGGAGGAGCTCAATGGCACAGTCTCGGCTCCCTGCAACCTCTGCTCCCGGGTTTAAGTGATTCTCCTACCTCAGCCTCCCGAGTAGCTGGGATTACAGGCGCATGCCAACACTCCCAGCTAATTTTTGTATTTTTAGTAAAGATGGGGTTTCACCATGTTGGCAGGATGGTCTCGATCTCTTGACCTGGTGATCCGCCTGCCTCGGCCTCCCAAAGTGCTGGGATTACAGGTGTGAGCCACCCCGCCCGGCCCTATTCCTTTACTTTCTTAATAAACTTGCTTTCAGTTTACTCCGTGGACTCCCCTGGAATTATTTCTTGCATGAGGTCCAAGAACCCTCTCCTGGGGGATTGGGTCCCTTTCCATGAACACCTTTCTACCTCTTCTCCTTCCAAAAGTCCAGAGTTTACTCAGCCACAAAAGCTCCTCAATATAAAGTCTACCAAAGGCCAGGTGCAGGGGCTCACACCTGTAATCCCAGCACTTTGGGAGGCTGTGGCGGACGGATCACAAGGTCAGGAGTCCAAGACCAGCCTGGCCAATATGCTGAAACGTCTCTACTGAAAATACAAAAATTAGCCAGGCATGGTGGTGGGCGCCTGTAGTCCAGCTACTGGGGAGGCTGAGGCAGGAGAATCGCTTGAACCTGGGAGGCGGAGCTTGCAGTGAGCCGATTACACCACTGCACTCCAGCCTGGGTGACAGAGTGAGATTGCGCCCCCCACCCCCCAAAAAAAGAAAAAAATAAAGTCCACCAAACTCTGCAATTCTGAAAGAGGCCAGTCTTCAAAATTGCCTTTTGTGCCTCATTTCCCTATCCACTAATTCAGACACACAACAGGCCCTCAGCATGTTTAGGAGTTATGACTGAAGAGCATCTGAATGGCGAGTATTAAAGTTTGCACTAAATTATCCTGAAAAGGAGGCAAAGGGGGTATACAACGTTCATTCATCTCTATTGGATGCCTTTTTTTCTTCCTCCTAGAAGCAGGATCCCTGAATTAGGATAGGCTGAAATTTATAGGCTTCCCAACTATTCTCCTTTTTGAATATTATTATTATTATTATTATTATTATTATTATTATTATTTTGAGATGGAGTTTCACTCTTTGTGCCCAGGCTGGAGTGCAATGGCATGATCTCAGCTCACTGCAACTTCCACCTCCTGGGTTCAAGCGATTCTCCTGCCTAAGCCTCCCAAGTAGCTGGGACTATAGGAGTGCGCCACCACACCCGGCTAATTTTGTATTTTTAGTAGAAACAGGGTTTCACCATGTTGCCCAGGCTGGTCTTGAACTCCTGACCTCAGGTGATCCACCCACCTCAGCCTCCCACAGTGCTGGGATTACAGGCATAAGCCCCGGTGCTGGCCTCTACAGGCTACTTTATGGCTTCTGTAAAGTGTCTCTTTATACTAAAATTTAGAGGACTATGTATTTCTGACTTTGAACCAATGTTTCATTTATCTGGCTTAAATTGAATTAAATTGTTTCTCTTTTGAAGTGCAATTTCAACTATCCATAAAATAGTTTCCAATCCAACATTTAAAATCTTTCAGTAAAATCCTCCCTTTTTGTTTATTTATTTATTTTTTGAGACAGAGTCTCACTCCATCACCCCAGGCTGGAGTGCAATGGTGCGATCTCGGCTCACTGCAACCTCTGCCTCCTGGGTTCAAGCAATTCTCCTGCCTCAGCCTCCTGAGTAGCTGGGATTACAGGCGCACGCCACCATGCCCAACTAATTTTTGTATTTTTGTAGAGATGGGGTTTCACCATGTTGGCCAGGCTGGTCTGGAACTCCTGACCTCAGGTGATCCAAAGTGCTGGGATTACAGGAGTGACCATTTCTAGGTACTTTGTATTTTTGATCTGTTATAAATGGTAGATTTTTAAGATTATGTGTTCTATTTGTTGCTAGTGCTTAGCAATATAATAGACTCTTGCACACTGATTTTGCATACAGCAAACTTGCTAAATTTCTTAATTTTAATAGTTTATCATATCAACCTTATCTGAAAATAATGAGATTTTATCTTGCTTTCCAATTCCTTTTTTTTTTTTTTTTTTCGAGACCAAGTCTCACTCTGTTGCCCAGTCTGGAGTGCAGTGGCGTGATCTCGGCTCACTAAAACCTCCACCTCCCAGGTTCAAGTGATTCTCCTGCCTCAGCCTCCAGGATTACAGGTGCCCACCACCACGCCCGGGTAATTTTGTATTTTTAGTAGAGACCAGGTTTCACCATGTTGGCCAGGCTGATCTCAAACTCCTGACCTCAGGTGATCCACCTGCCTCGGCCTCCCAAAGTGCTGGGATTATAGCCGTGAGTCATTGTGCCCAGCCATTGCTTTCAAATTCTTTTTTTTTTTTTTGAGATGGAGTTTCGCTCTTGTTGCCCAGGCTGGAGTGCAATGGTGTGATCTCGGCTCACCACAACCTCAGCCTCCCGGGTTCAAGTGATTCAGTTCACTCCTGGCTGGCACAGTGGCTTCACTGTAATCCCAGAACTTTCGGAGGCCGAGGCACGTGGATCACCTGAGGTCAGGAGTTCAAGACCAGCCTGGCCAACATGGTGAAACCCCGTCTCTACTAAGAATACAAAAATTAGCCAGGTGTGGTGGCTCACACCTGTAATCCCAGCTACTCGGGAGGCTGAGGGAGGAGAATTGCTTGAACCTGGGAGGCGGAGGTTGCAGTGAGCTGAGATCATGCCACTGCACTGCAGTCTGGGCAACAGAGCAAGACTCTATCTCGGAAAAAAAAAGTTCACTCCTAATTTGCTAAAATATATATTTTTAATCATGAATTGATACTGAATTTTACTAAATGCTTTTTTTTTTTTTGAGATGGAGTTTTGCTCTTTTTGCCGAAGCTGGAGTGCAATGGAGAGGTCTCAGCTCACTGCAACCTCTGCCTCCCAGGTTCAAGTGATTCTGCTGCTTCAGCCTCCCGAGTAGCTGGGATTACAGGTACATGCCACCATGCCCGGCTAATTTTTGTATTTTTAGTAGATACAGGGTTTCACCATGTTGGTCAGGCTGGTCTCGAACTCCTTACCTCAGGTGATCCACCCACCTCGGCCTCCTAAAGTGCTGGGATTACAGGCGTGAGCCACCGTGCCCAGCCAATGCTTTTTTTTTTTTTTTTTTAAGAGACAGTGTCACTCTGTCATGTGGGCTGGAGTGCAATGGTGCAATCACAGGTCACTGCAACCTTGAACTCCTGGGCTCAAGCCATTCTCCTAGCTCAGCCTCCAGAGTAGCCAGGACTATAGGTGTGCTACCATACCTGGCTAATGTTTTTTTATTAGGTTTTTTAGAGACAGGGTCTCACTATGTTGCCCATGCTGGTCTTGAGCCTGGCCTCAAGTGATTCTCCTGTGTTGTCCTCTCAGAGTGCTGGGATTACAGGTGTGAACCACTGGGCTCAGCCACTCTCTTTAATCTGTTGAGATGCCCAGATAATCTACTAATACTGTAAATTATCTTGATTTTTACATGCATAAGCCTACTTGTTTAGGATGCACTACCTCTTTCATACATTGCTAGATTCGGTTTGCTAGTAATATATTTAATAATTGCACATTTGTATTTATGAGATTATCCTATACTTTTTTTTTTTTTTTTTGAGACGGAGTTTTACTCTTGTTGCCCAGGCTGGAGTGCAACGGCACGATCTCGGCTCACTGCAACCTCTACCTCCTGGGTTAAAGTGATTCTCCTGTCTCAGCCTCCTGAGTAGCTGGGATTATAGGTGCATGCCACCATGCCCAGCTAAAGAGAGGGAGTTTCACCATGTTGGCCAGGCTGGTCTTAAACTCCTGACCTCAGGTGATCCACCTGCCTCAGCCTCCCAAAGTGCTGGGATTATAGTTGTGAGCCACTGCGCCTGGCCTATCCTATAATTTTCTTCTTCAATTATTTTGGTATCATGGCTACTCCATCCTTATAATAGAATTTGGGGAATGTTTTCTATATCCTCAAATACTTTGTGCAGGATTGGAATTTTTTCTTTGAATATTCTTAGAACTCATTGGTAAAACTGCCTGGGTGTTTGCTCTAAATTTCATCCAGGGAATGGGGAAGAACTACCCCTGTAAAATGGGTTAGAAGAGAGGGAAACAAACATAAATTGTCTTTGATTGCAGCCTTCAAGAACTGCTTGGTCTACAAAACTGACCAGTATCTAGGTATAATGCAAAGAGAAAGGTCTGAAAAGATGGAAACTAGTAAGAGATTTCCTTTGGAACGGGGACTTGGACTGGGATTGAAGAGGCTTTCTTTTGTCTGAATGGCTGAAATTTTATAAATCAGAATGTATTTCTCTATTATGTAGTTACTTTTTTTTTAAGAATAAGAATTATTACAGGGAGCCAGGCTCTCTGGAGCACTAGGAAGTTGGGGAGACACCCAGACTTGTTTTCTCTCCCTATGAGAATGTAGCTTTGCTGATACCAAGTTTGACTCAAGAACCAAAAGAACTCCATGTTTCTGAACAGTGAGACTGCTTGTAACATTGAATAATGTTACATTTGAGTTCTTCCAGAATGGGACATAAACCCGAGGATAGCAGGGCAATGGCAGGAATTGGGCTTTCACCTCTGGCAGGCTCCATCTTTGAGGAGCATGACAGTGGGAGCAGCACCCCCTAGAGGACACTTAGGGGCCAGGAACACCCATGAAGGACTATTTGCTCAGGGTCACCTAGGCTCCTGCTAAACTAAATCAATCAATTGCTCAATCAGGAATTTGTAGCAGATACTTGTGGTCTCCTCCCACGATGGATCACTAAACTTGCAACACTGCCAATTACATTTAAACTGCATTTATGACTTCATAAGCAATTACGTTTCTTCAAAACTAGCTCTCTAGCTGAGATGAGGCCTAGAGAGTTGAAAAGTTTCCAGTTCCTTAACCCAGAAGAGCTGAAATTCTACCTGGATAACACTGAAGAGATTAATGCTCTAGCCCCTTTTCTCATATCTAAAAGTGAGCACCCCATCAACCATGTAGTATCAAAGGAGTCAACAGACGGGGCAGTGCTCTGTAGAAATAGTAGGGGAAGAGCTACAAAAAAATTCCAATAGAGCAATTTTCACACTCAAACTATAGTAGTCACAATTATATACTATTTCCATCCCTCCTTCTTCACTAACGAGTCTCATTTTATCTGGAGAAACACTCTTCCCTAGACTCTCTTGCAGCTATGAGGTGCCAAATGACAGTTCTGGCCAGTGGGACAGAAGTTGAGGGTTTCTGGGAAAATTTGTGTTCTCTCGATATAAGCACTACTCCCTTGTGCTTTCCACGTTGCCTTTTGCCATCTCTCTTTCTCCTGCTTGACACCCGGACAAGAGGTTGGAGGTGCACCAGCCATCTAGTATCTATGTTGCAACAGGCATTAAGGATACAGGCCTACATGCTAAGAATGATAGAGTGACAACGTGGAGTCCCAAGTGCTGGTGGGGTTGCTGGACTCCCTGGTTGTCCCAGGACAACCCCAGACTGACAAACACTGAACTTCCTGTTACATTAAAGGTACTAACACTTTGGAACCTGTGGTTTACAAACTTATTTCTAATAGATACATAAAACAATTCTTGGCTGGGTGTGGTCGCTCATACCTGTAATCCTAGCACTTTGGGAGGCCGAGGCGGGAGGATCACTTGAGTTCAGGAGTTTGAGACCAGCCTGGGCAACATAGTGAGACCTTGTCTCTATTTAAAACAACAAACAAACAAAAACTTCAAAAACCAATTCTTGAATTAAATTTTTTTCTTTGCAATCTCTCTTCAGGAAAGTGATTATCCAAACTACAATGCACAGTCTCATATTGCCAGCTATGCAATACTGTAAAATACACAATTTCACAATGTGTGGCCAAATAGGGATGTACTGGGGGCCTTCTTTGTGTAAAGCTCTGTAACAGCTGGGTGTGGTGGCTCACGCCTGTAATCCCAGCATTTTGGGAGGCTGAGGTGGTGGATCACTTGAGGTCAGGAGTTCAAGACCAGCCTGGCCAACAAGGTGAAACCTTGCTTCTACTTAAAATACAGAAATTAGCTGGGTGTGGTGGCTCACTCCTGTAGTCTCAGCTACCTGGGAGGCCGAGGTAGGAGAATTGTTTGAATCCGGGAGGCGGAGGTTGCAGTGAGCAGAGATCATGCCACTGCGTTCCAGCCTGGGTGACAGAGTGAGACTCTGTCTCAAAAAACAACAAACAAAAACTTCAAGAACCAATTCTCAAATTAAACTTTTTTATCTGCAATATCCCTTCAGGGAAGTGATTATCCAAACTACAATGCACAGTCTCATATTGCCAACTATGCAATACTGTAAAATACACAATTTCACACTGTGTGACCAAATAGGGATGTACTGGGGGCCTTCTTTGTGTAAAGCTGTGGAACAGCCAGACGTGGTGGCTCACGCCTGTAATCCCAGTACTTTGGGAGGCTGAGGCGGGTGGATCACTTGAGGTCAAGAGTTCAACACCAGCCTGGCCAACATGGTGAAACCCCGCCTCTACTTAAAATACAAAAAATTAGCTGGGCGGTAATGGCACGTGCCTGTAGTCCCAACTACTCAGAGGCTGAGGCAGGAGAATCGCTTGAATCCAGGAGGCAGAGATTGCAGAGAGCCGAGATTGTGCCACTGCACTCCAGCCTGGGCGACAGAGTGAGATCCTGTGTTAGAAAAAAAAAAAAAAAAGCTGTGTAATATTTGCAGCATAATTTCCATAATGCATCCATTTTTTAAATACGAGAGATGGGAGAAAAGTGCAAATAGCTCTGTGCAGCATCCTGTTACTTCTGCATCTGCTCCCGCAATATCAGAGGGGAAAAAAGCAATGAGAGGAGACTACATTTATCAAATGTTGACTTTGTGCTAGACATCATTCTAAATATTTTATTTGAAATGAATGAATTTAACCCTGAAAACCCCCTATGATGTAGGCCCTTGTATTATCACTCAAAACAAAGCACAGAAACAAGCCCACCAATTCACATTAACCGTTTTTGTGCACATTCTACTAGAGAGGGCTGTTACTAACTTCAAAAAGCGTAAGGAGTCCTCCCCCTAGCAGCAAATCTCAAAATTAAACACAGTTTCATTTAAAAGAAACTCACAAGTTCAAATGTGACTCTAAGATGAAACTAAGTAAAAATAAGCTTTCATACAGTTCTGTGTCTTGCTTAGTGACTGGATGGGGAACGTGCAGCAACAAACACTCGTGCACTCAGACCCATGATAACACCTTGACCAGCTGTGCTTTGTCATAAAAAAAAGACACTACGGAAATGGGACAGAGCAGGCGCATAATGGAACACCGTTTATCCGTGGTAAAATACGCAGGGCTGAAGGGAAGTGGAAAAGTATTTGCTGACAATGCAAGTTATATGAAAGTAGCTGATCCACATATCCAACAGTCCATGGCCAAAGGTCACTTTCAATGACACCACAGTCTTACGGCATGCTCCAATAGAGCATGAACAGATGAACAAATGAGATGGTCATTTACACTCCTACAGCACCAAGAGTGTGAACAAAACAGTGACAGTATCTATACTAAAACCTCAAATGATTAAGATTTTTAGTTTACTGAAAAACAGCTCAACAAAGATACTAGCAGCAAATCGTAAAGTGTACTAAAATGTAAGGAATATTGAATGTGACTAAGATGTCTTCTAGTTTCAATCCTGAAACTCCTTAAAGATTTTACTGACAATATATTAAAGCAATCACAGTTGGATTGTACTGTTAGATATTACTTAATTTTATGGCCGTGATCAACTAGGTTTTGAAAATGGTACACTTCTATTTTATTGAGACGGAGTCTCAAAAAGCTGTAGTGCAATGGTGTGATTTTGGCTCACTGCAATCTCTGCCTCCCGGGTTCAAGCGATTCTCCTGCCTCAGCCTCTTGAGTAGCTGGGATTACAGGCGCCCGCCACCATGCCCGGCTCATTTTCTATTTTAAGTAGAGACGGGGTTTCACCATGTTGGCCAGGCTGGTCTTAAAACTCCTGCCCTCAGGTGATAGATACACCCACCTCGGCCTCCCAAAGTGCTGGGATTACAGGTGTGAGCCACTGCGCCTGGCCCTATACTTCTATTTTAAATATAGAAGTCAAAGTGAAGTAGTTTATTAAGAATTGGAGGAAAATAGTTTTTTGGCAACGCGTTGATGATGCTGTGCTGTACATACCTACAGGTCTAAGAATGAAAAACAGAAATGTATGGCACTGTCACTCTATCTGGCACTGTCACTCTATCTGGCCTGTTACAGCACTACGAGGGTGAGACGTTTGCATCTGCTCCAGAGCAAACTGGGACGGATGAACGAGGGAATGCAACGGGCACCTTCTAACAACTATCCAGAGATGACGTATCCACGGGCGTCATTCCTTTCAAGATCAGGAGTCTCTTTTTTTTTTTTTTGAGACGGAGTCTCGCTCTGTCGCCCAGGCTGGAGGGCAATGGCGCGATCTCGGCTCACTGCAACCTCCGCCTCCTGGGTTCACGCCATTCTCCAGCCTCAGCCTCCCGAGTAGCTGGGACTACAGGCGCCTGCCACCACGCCCGGCTAATTTTTTGTATTTTCAGTAGAGACGGGGTTTCACCACGTTAGCCAGGATGGTCTCGATCTCCTGACCTCGTGATCCGCCCGCCTCGGCCTCCCAAAGCGCTGGGATTACAGGCGGGAGCCACCGCGCCCGGCGAAGATCAGCAGTCTCTTCACGTAACTCACAAGTTTATATAAATGCTGTCATTTTCTGAACAAATTGTTTCCCAGAAATGCAGCATTTTTAGTCTTTTTCCCTAACCCCAAACTAAGATGTATGGGTAAAACAGCTATAATCAGGATTATTGAGACTATAAAATTCTCTTTATAGAGATATAGGCAATTACCAACTCTTTTTTTTTTGAGACAGGGGCCTTGCTCTGTCACCCAGGCTGGAGTACAGCGGCACCATCTTGGCTCACTGCAACCTCTGCCTCCCAGGCTCGAGCCATCCTCCCGCCAAGCCCTAGAGATAGAGCTTCTGAAATTAACCACAGGCTTTTAAAAGTTTTCTTAGGCAATGCTTTGAGCATTTGCTATTAGTTCAAAGAAATATAAATGTTAGAACAAGACGAAACAGCCATATAGTGTAACAAATACATTTCAAAGTCATTGCCTCCCCTTCTCACCCAGAATATATATATATATATATATATTTTTTTTTTTTTTTTTTTTTTTTTTTTTTTTTTTCTTTTTGAGACAGGAGTCTTGCTCTGTCACCCAGGCTGGAGTGCAATGGCATGATCTTGTCTCACTGCAACCTTCACCTCCCGGGTTCAAACAATTCTTGTGCCTCAGCCTCCCAAGTAGCTGGGACTACAGACATGTGCCAGTACACCTGGCTGATTTTTTTTTGTATTTTAGTAGAGATGGGATTTCATCATGTTGCCCAGGCTGGTCTCCTGCCTGAGCTCAGGCAATCCGCCAGTCTCAGCCTCCCAGTGCTAGGATTACAGGTGTGAGCCACCACGCCTGGCCTTATTTTATGCTTTTTGATAGTAAACCATTATTGTGGCTGTTCCCTATGTTAGGGTACCTAAGATTCCAAATTAATTCACATAATGAAGTGATGCCTTACGACGTATTGCACTCTAAAAGGTTTCTTGGTTCACTTAACACAGAAATTCTGATCAGGTTTTTATTACTCCAGCAAGGTGTGTGTTCAAATCAGAACTGTTTCCCTGGGTCTGATAGAGAAACATTGATAAAGAAAATTATTCTGAACTTGATTTAGAAAGGGAAAACTTCCCCTAACTACTCAGGAGGCCGAAGCAGGAGAATCACTTGAACCTGGGAGGCAGAGGTTGCAGTGAGCTGAGATGGCGCCACTGCACTCCAGCCTGGAAGAAAGAGTGAGACTTGTCTCAAAAAAAAAAAAAAAAAAAAAAAAAAGGAAAACTTCATGTTTACTGCCCACACATTTCTAGAAACCTTCCTACTTTGGAGCTTTGTAATAAATTCAAAATGATGGCACAACACCATTAAAAGGTTTAAAACATTTATCACTAAAAATACTAAATGTTCTTTGAAAACCTATTAAGACATTTAAATATTCTTTTATGCTATCAAAAGACATTAAAATATTCTTTTACGCTGATCAAAAGAAAGAATAAAAGTTTAGGAAAGGGAAAAATGCACACTTTTTTTAAAAAGTTTATTTCTAGCCCTGAAAGAACAAAATTATTGAACAAAGTCAAAATACAGCAGTTAATGTCAATGTATAACAATTAAATAATTGAACGGGATTAAATTAAAAATAAAAGGCATAAAATTTGAAGACAACAGAAAAGACAAAAACTACTTTTGCTTAATTCCATTTCTATCAAAACAAGAAAAAAAAAGCCAATGCGTTCCAACCAAAGATGTTGAATTCCACACGTAACTGTTTCTCTTATTACTTCTGTTCTCTTAGAAACACTTCTAAGTTCTAAGAGAACAGAAGTGTGCTTGACAGAACTATCATCCATTTCTTTCTGCCTCTGTCTTGGCAGCTTTCTAGAGAAGTGAATGGGAAAGACTTCGGTTCTTTCAAGGCCAGGCCAGCGCTTGCTTCTTCTTTCGAACTCCAACCTCATCCACCACAGCATCTTTGCCAGAGTGTTCAATCAATGTGTTGACTGAGAAAAAAGAATGTGTGTATCTATTTTTTCTTATATACACACACTATCAAAAAACTGATTTTACCAGTTTCAATACCTACTGTGGGAGCAGCGGAGACAGGAAGACAATCTGCTTTTTGTATTACTATGAAGTTCCACTATAAAAAACCCCAAATGAGTATTAATCTGGATTTTAGCTATAATCTATAATATTTTGACACTGACATTTCACTAGATGTGGATCTCAGTATATTTTAAAAGATTTAGACTCAAAAATGGATGCAAATTCTTTAAGCATCTATTTTGTTTTTTTCTAATTTTAGCTACTACCTGATCAGATCTAAAATTATTCTGGCTAGAATACAGTATATACAAACATGTATTTAAGTGAGCCCTAAAAGAAATACTCATAGGTGGTTTAGAATCGCTTGTTAGAGGCACAGGTTCGTTTACAGTTGCTGGTTACTAGACTGTACGCAGCTGGACACTTCTATGTTAAAGGGAAGAGAATGAATACTATGTGCCAGGCAGTCAACACATGAAGACAGAGTTGTATTAGCCTCAGTGTCTTATGCTTCACAATTACTCGTTTACTTTCAGGTAGGATAAAATGTTCCATGTTTCATAGTTTCCCAGTTTTAATTGTCCCTAAAAGCAGCAGAAGAAAAAAGAAAAAGAGAAGATAACTTTAAATCTAAAATAAAATAAATAAGTACTATAATAATACTGTCCTAATAACACAAGAGGACTATTAAGGTAACTTTCAGATTTAAATGGGAATTTTCATTCTAAAGTGATGACAAAAAGGGTAAATATAAAAGGCAATTATTTAAAAAACATGAGGCCAGGTGCAGTGGCTCACGCCTGTAACTGCAGCACTTTGGGAGGCCAAGGTGGGCAGACTGCCTGAGCTCAGGAGTTGGAGACCAGCCTGGGCAATGTGGTGAGACTCTGTCTCTACTAAAAATACAAAAAAATAGCTGGGTGTGGTGGCGGGTGCCTGTGGTCTCAGCTACTCAGGAGGCTGAGGCATGAGAATTGCTTGAACCCAGGAAGCGGAGGTTGCAGTGAGCTGAGATCATGTCACTGCACTCCAGCCTGAGTGACAGAGTGAGACTCTGTATCAAAAAAAATAAAAATAAAAAACATGAATCTTGATTCAGATATAATTTTTCTTTCAACAAGTTCTGAATGTTTTAAAATTAATAAATCACAATTCTGTATTACTTTTAAGATTGTTTAAAAATGACACATTTCAAAATTAACCAAAGTATATTTCTGTTAGAGGTTAGTTTATCCACGTAACTTAAGAATAAACCACAGCGTAGCTCCCTTAACCAAAGAGCCAGGTTTTAATGACAAGTCAGTTGCCAGCAATGGACGTGCAGGTAACTATCGAAGAAGTCGCAACTACAAATCCCAAACTGCTTCTATCAATGGAAAAGCCCTTTGTTGAGTCACAAGCCTGAAACGAGGCGTTGGCACATAGTCAGTGAGGATGGTCTTTGACTTAGGAGGGAAGTGCCTCTGAGTACATGAGGATCACAGTCTTCTCATCTCGTTGGTTTTCTATTTCATTGGTAGCATCTTCTTTATCATAATCCATCCAACTGTTTACAAAGAATGGTAAAATTTGGAACTCAGGTGGCACTGCAGCTTTCTGCCAGAAATAAACCAGTTTCTATAATTCAGTAATAGCTGTAGAAGGCCAATATATTCCAGAGAAAAATGAAATCAAGAATTATATTGAAAACAGAGACCATTAAGTGCTCTAAATATGTTTCATTAATTATTTTACTCATTTTTCTGAAAATCTTGCCTTATCAATAAAAAACAGTCACTTCTCTCCTTATAATTGCATCTTATCATAGATATAGTGGAAATAAAATAATGGAAATAAAACCTGCCAGTTTCTCCAATGTATACTACAACAGCAAAATTATTTTTTATTCATGATTTATACTACTGCAGGATGGCAAGCAGGGGGGAAGTTAATGGGGGAAGGGGATGGTGGGAACAAAATGCCAGAACCAAACCACAGATACTTGAACAACACCCACTCCAAAAGCAAAACAATGAATAAAGGAGAAGAAGAGGAGAGGAAAAAAGAGAAGAGAAAAGGGAGGGGAGGGGAGAAGGGAGGGCACTCAAATAATTAATGCTACAGGTCTCAGACCTTTTAGAATCTTTAAAAGAAACAAATTATTGCTATCAACACGCACATTTCATTTTCCTTTCTCGTTTTTTACAATAGTCTCTACTTATTTGAAAAAACAAAACAAAACTAAACTAAAGTAACTCAACATCTCAAATGATCTATAAATTCATCAAGAAATACTCTGTCGCTCAAGTTCTCATAGATAATACCACACTGCTGACGACCTGGGGCAATGCCACCGCCGCCAAGTCTCTACAGTCGATTTGCTATCGGCTGCTTCTCTGTAACACTAACATTCTCTTTCATGAGTATAATCTCTTCTCACTGTATCAGAGCTCACCAAGGTTCACATCTCTTACTGCCTCTGCTGCTAGTCCCAAATATTTTTCTCCTTTAAGTGGAAAAAAGCTAATTTTTAAATTCCTGAAAATTCACTGGTTATTATATTATTTGCCATGGGAGGGGGTATCTGTGAGGTGAGAGAGGATTAATGAAAAAGAAAAAGAACAAACCTAAACCTAAAATTGCAACATATACAGAAATTTATTTCCAAATTGAAGGGGGAAAGGAGGGAAGAAGGTAGTGGCACTAACCAAAGTCACAAAGCCCAGGTTGGAACAACAACAAATCACTTTGGTTCCTAGAGCCAAGCCTGAAGGGGAAACAGGCAGAAGGGAAGACAAAATGGGAAGAAGTCTACAGTCAATGGGAATCTTTTTCTATCTCAATGATTTAGTTATAAATAGAGATTATTAGTCTTCTCTCTATACATGTAACAAATGCCGAACTTACTACCACGAAATTTCTAAAACTGACTTTTTCACATTTGTTAAAAAAGGTAAAAATCACATACTTTTCTTCCCTTCCTTCAGGTCAAGTTCTGAACTAAAATATTACATGTAACAACAGCTGGTCCTAACTTTTATACAAAGTGAAACTATATAGAGCTCCTTTGCCAACATAAGGAGCTACATAATTTCTATTACACTTGCCTAGGCATGAGAAACGCAAAAGCAACTCAAAAGGAGCAAGTCCAGGAAAAGAAAAGCTATGAAGGAGAGAAAGACTAGCAGATGAAACACATACTCTGAAAAACTCCAATCTGCCATTCAAGTATTGGAAATACCCCAAAGGGGACAATGAATGGGATCTATTACAACAAAGTCAGCAAAGTAAAATGCAAATCTCACACATGATAAATGGCCCTGATAGGCTGTTTGCTGAAAGACCTAAGGCTAGTGATTCAGTCCACAATTCCTTCTGGACCCTAAAGAAGGGGTTCATATAAAAGTCATACTTGTCTTTTTGCAATTTTCTCTTGGTTGTCTTCAGAGAATAGTCATTTGCTTCTTTCATTCAGGTTATGCAGACCATTTCTTTAAACCCCAAAAAGAGTAATAATTTTCATATACTAAAAGGCTTCTTGTAGAAAATGGAAAAAAGAGTATGAGGCCACAGCAGTGATGTTAACGGTTACTCTTCATTGCTTCTTTAGCTGCCATGATCAGTGGTGTCAAGCTAGATAACGGTTTGGCCAGTTTCAGGAAAGGATGCTGCCAGAAAGAAGGGGAAAAATAAATGTATAAGTGCCATTCATCAGGTTAGAAACAAAATAATTTTGTTCAATTAAGCCCCAAAGACTACTTGTCGATCATAATTTAATAAACTAAACACATATTAATACCTTCATAAGACTAACATAATCAACGCATTACTTTCAGAGTTGAATGAAAGCAGAATCATTTTAGTTTGACAAATATACACACAACAGCAATAAACAGGTCTGAGGAGTGATACGATGCACAAACTGTAAACAGGTCTGAGGATTGATACGATGCACAAACTGTAAACAGGTCTGAGGATTGATACGATGCACAAACTGTAAACAGGTCTGAGGATTGATACGATGCACAAACTGTAAACAGGTCTGAGGATTGATACGATGCACAAACTGTAAACAGGTCTGAGGATTGATACGATGCACAAACTGTAAACAGGTCTGAGGATTGATACGATGCACAAACTGTAAACAGGTCTGAGGATTGATACGATGCACAAACTGCACATTACGGTTTTGTCAGAATTTTATTCACAGCAGATGAAACCCTCACTTTTTTTTTTAATACTTTAAGTTCTAGGGTACATGCGCACAACGTGCAGGTTTGTTACATATGTACACATGTGCCATGTTGCTGTGCTGCACCTGTTAACTCATCATTTACATTAGGTATATCTCCTAATGCTATCCCTCCCCACTCCCCCCACCCCACAACAGGCCCCGGTGTGTGATGTTCCCCTTCCTGTGTCCAGGTGTTCTCATTGTTCAATTCCCACCTATGAGTGGGAACATGCAGTGTTTGGTTTTCTGTCCTTGCGGTAGTTTGCTCAGCATGGTAGGATGAAACCCTAAATTGCAGCAGCTGCCATACCGCTGGTGATCAATGAGTAGTGAAATCTACTTATTAGCCCTAGGAAAGCTTTCTGTCGGTTACCAAAAAAGTCAACTATTCCCCCAAATGAAATCATTTTTAAATTTACCTGTAATAATTCTTTGGCTGAACCCCTTTTTTCCACATCCATTTCCAAACATCGATTTAAGAAATCCCGAAATATTGGGGAAAGTTTCTCTGGATTCTGAAGTTCTGGGGTTCCATTAGTTGCTATTAGGTACAAGGCCTAAAAATAGAAGAACATCTTTGATCCACTTAAGATAGCTCAACACGGTCACAGAGCACTCCATAAAGTCTAAGGGATTCTTTCTTCTTTAAAGAAAATCACCATAAATACTAAACTGGGGTTATCATTATCCCATTTAAATTTAGATTTGATACTTTCCTCTTATTTTTAGATGTTACATTTCCTTAAGTTACTTTTCTGAAATCAGATTCACCTTTGGTTTTTCTTCGGTTATAAATGCAATACATATTGCTTTTGTTTTGTTTTTTTTTGTTGAGACGGAATCTTGCTCTGTCACCCAGGCTGGAGTGCAGTGGTGCAATCTTGGCTCACTGCAACCTCTGCCTCCTGGGTTCAAGTGACTTTCCTGCCTCAGCCTCCCGAGTAGCTGGGATTACAGATGCATACCACCATGACCTGCTAATCTTTGTATTTTTAGTAGAGGTGGGGTTTCATCATATTGGTCAGGCTGGTCTTGAACTCCTGACCTCAAATGATCCACCTGCCTCGGCCTCCCAAAGTGCTGGATTGCAGGTGTGAGCCACTGTGCCCAGCCCATATTGCTTTAAAAAATAAAACAATGTTAATAATTAAAAATAACCACAACCTCACCATTGACCATCCTGTTTAGGTTTCTCAAATTTTTTTCAAGTCATACATATCATTAAAAAAAATGAGATTTGTTAAAACTTAAAAAACAAAAAACAAAACAAAAAAAAACCAAGGCCGGGCATGGTGGCTCACGCCTGTAATCCCAGTACTTTGGGAGGCTAAGGCGGGCCGGTCACGAGGTCAGGAGATTGAGAGCATCCTGACTAACATGGTGAAACCCTGTCTCTACTAAAAAATACAAAAAATTAGCCGGGCGTGGTGGTGGGCGCCTGTAGTCCCAGCTACTCGGGAGGCTGAGGCAGGACAATGACGTGAACCCGGGAGGCAGAGCTTGCAGTGAGCCGAGATTGCGCCACTGCACTCCAGCCTGGGCGACAGAGCGAGACTCCGTCCCAAAAATAAACAAACAAACAAACAAACAAAAACAAATTAGGCTGGGCATGGTGGCTGATGCCTGTAATCCTAGCACTCTGGGATGCTGAGACAAGTGGATTGCCTGGGCTCAGGAGCTCGAGACCAGGCTGGGCAACATGGCAAAACCCCATCGCTACTAAAAATACAAAAAAAAAACAATTAGCTGGGTGTGGTGGCACATGCCTGTAGTTCCAGCTACTCGGGAGGCTGAGGCAGGAGAACTGCTTGAATATGGGAGGTGGAGGTTGCAGTGAGCCAAGATTGCACCACTGTAACTCCAGCCTGGACAAGACAGCAAGACTCTGTCTCAAAAATAAAAACCAAAAAAACAAATTATCCCAGGTCATCATTACTAATAACTACCTAGATCTATAAAATTACTGTAATGGCTTAAGTAAATATTGCCTTATATGAATGTTTCCTAATTTAATCAACTCCCTTTAGAAAATCCTTACATAGTTCTAATTATTTCCTTTACATTTCTATAAATTGAATTTTATTTATTTATTTATTTATTATTTATTTTTGAGACGGAGTCTGGCTCTGTGGCCCAGGCTGGAATGCAATGGCACGATCTCAGCTCGATGCAACCTTCACCTCCTGAGTTCAAGCGATTCTCCTGCCTCAGCCTTCCGAGTAGCTGGGATTATAGGCGCCCGCCAAAATGCCCGGCTAATTTTTTGTATTTTCAGTAGAGACGGGGTTTCACTGTGTTGGCCAGGCTGGTCTTAAACTCCCAACTTTGTGATCTGCCCGCCTTGGCCTCCCAAAGTGCTGGGATTACAGGTGTGAGCCACTGCATCTGGCCTATTTATTTTTCTTTTCAGACACAGTCTCGCTCTGTTGCCCAGGCTGGAATGCAGTGGCATGATCTCAACACATGGCAACCTCTGCCTCCCGGGTTCCAGCAATTCTTGCAGCTCAGCCTCCCGAGTAGCTGGGAGTACAGGCATGCACCATTACGCCTGACTAATTTTTGTATTTTTAGTAGAGGTGGGGTTTCACCACATTGGCCAGGCTGGTCTCAAACTCCTAACCTCAAGCGATCTGCCCACCTTGGCCTCCCAAAGTGCTGGTATTACAGGCATGAGCCGCTGCGTCTGGTCCTAAATTATTATTTTTAACTGACTAATTTTTTAGAAGTTTTAGGTTTACAGAAAATTGAACAGATAGTACAGAGTTCCCACACGCAACCTCCCCAATGTGGAGTTTTATTATTGTCTACATTATTATACTATGGGACATTTGTTACAAATGAACCAATATTGATACACTTCTATTAAATTAAAGCCCTCAGTTTACATTAGGGTTCACTCTGTATTACATTACACAGTCCTATGGTCTTGTTTTTTTTTTTAATGCATTCTCGATATGTTGCCCAGGCTGGCCTTGAACTCCTGGGGTCAAGAGATCCTCCTGCTTCAGCCTTTCAAGCAGCAGGGACTACAGGTGTGCACCACCGTGCCTAGTTGTTCCATGGGCTTTGACAAATGAATGCTCTCCAGTGTCCGCCATTATAATATCATACAAAGTAATTTCACTGCCCAAAAAAATTCCCTGTGCTTCACCTACTCATCCTCTCTACCCCCGATCCCCTGCCAAACCCCATAACCACTAATCATTTTTACTCTCTACAGTTGAAATAATATGTAGCCTTTTTAGACTGGATTCTTTCACTAAGCAATATGCATTTAAAGTTCTTACAACTGAAATGCAGTCGTGAGATTGTTTTAATGAACTTCTGTCCGTTCCAGTTGCCTGGAAGTTTTTCTCATTATGGGCTGCATCTGCCTGCTCCTTTGCCTGTCTGGTAAACTTTGACTGATGTCTGGGTGATTGCTGGGTCCTGGCTATTTCTGTATTCCTACCAATATGCTTTTTCCCCCCATCAGGCAGATAAAATCTTGTTGTATTTGAATGACTGGATCTATGTAATCACCAAGATCCACTATGTACAGACGAGAGAGGGAGACCTTTATTTCTTAGTTTCTTCCTCCTGGGACAGTCTTAATGATTTTCTCTTGGCCCAGAGGCACTCTCCGTGGAACTACAGTGCTTTCCTGGTCTTAGAGCCATGTGCCCTGGCCTGGTCAATGAGAAGCTTCTTGAGGCCTTGTCTATCTTCAGCTTGGAATGAGTTCCGAAGAACCTGCTTGTTTCTGAACACGTCCCCCTTCACTTCATGTACAGGCTCTGATACACGTGAAGGTCAATCTCGGTAGATTCATAGTGTCTTCTGAGCAGCTGGGGTGGAATTCTCATCTTCCTCATCCAGGCTGCCTTTTTGGTAATGTGTGCATTAGCAGTTATGCCCATATGCCTGTGGGCCAAGGTGTTTTTTTCTTTTTTTTTTTTTTTGCGACAGAATCTCTCCCTGTCGCCCAGTTTCAAGCAATTCTCCCACCTCAGCCTCTCGAGTAGCTGGGAATACAGGTGCACGCCACCATGCCTGGCTCATTTTTGTATTTTTAGTAGAGACGAGGTTTCATCATGTTAGGCTGGTCATGAACTCCTGACCTCAAGTGATCTGCCCACCTCGGCCTCCCAAAGTGCTGAGATTACAAGCATGAGCCACCGTGCCCGGCCCAAGGTGTTTTTTTTGTTTGTTTGTTTGTTTGTTTGTTTGCGGGGATCCAGCCTGGGAATGGATAGTCACAGGCTTGCAGATGATCAGCCCATCTTTGATCAGCTTCTGGATCTGCTGATAGGAGCTTGGCGCTGGTGATTTTACCGATCTCACTGAGGTTCAAGTAGACCTTTTTGCCACAGTGAAGGCCACTGGAGGCGAGCCTCTTCTGAAGCCTGAGCGTACTCCTGGCTATAGACGCAGCCCTGTAAGACTCTTCAGCTTTGTACAGGAATGCAGTTGAGTTACTTGGGAACAGATCCCGTTAGTCTTTTCTCTCTCATGTAGACTCTTCTTTCAAAATACATCCAGACTCACACCACTTTTTCCCACCTCCACTGATACTGCCCTGGTCTAGGCCATCATCACTGCTTGCCTGAATTATGACATCAGCCTCTTGACTGGTCTTCTGCTCTGCCTTTGCCTTCCTCAGGGATCTCTCAACAACGCAGCCAGGGAAATCCTATTAAAACTGAAGGAGACCACTTTGCTTCTCTGCTCAGATCTCTCTAACAGTTTCCCCATTTGGCCTCCAGTAAAAGCCAGAATCCTTCCAGAGCTCTCATAAGGCACTACGGTCTGGCCTGGTTTCTTCGCCGATCGACCGCACCTCTCGCTGTTTGCTCAGCGTACGCCAGCTGTGCTGAGGTCCAGAATCATCTCTCAATACACAAGGAACGCTCCTGCTTTAGAGCTTTTGCACTTGCTGTGCCTTCTGCTTAGAATGCTTTTCCCTCAGGTAAGTATCACGCTCTTACTTCCTGTGTCCAAATGTCACCTCAGGGAAGCCCTCCCTATGCACGCTTTTGATTTAATTTTACATTTTATTTTTATTGTATTTTTTTTGAGACAGGTCCTAGCCGTCACCCAAGCTGGAGTGCAGTGATGTGATAACAGCTCACTGCAGCCTCATCTTCCTTGGGCCCAAGTGACCCACGCACTGGGGCAGGATGATGGTTCCAATTAGCTGTGACTACAGGCACACACTAACATGCTTGGCTAATTTTTAAATTTTTTTGTAGAGATGGGGACTCACTATGTTGCCTAGGCTGGCCTTGAACTCCTAGGCTCAAGCAATCCTCCCACCTTGGCCTCCCAAAATGCTGGGATGACAGGCGTGAGCCACTGTGCCCAGCTCTCTAAGCACCTTTTGAAAGTAAACACCCTAACCTCCTTCCTGCCAGTCTCAGTACTCAAGAGTCCATTATTCAATGTATGACACATTATTCTGATTTATTTTGTTTTTCTCTTTTCCCACTAGAAGACAAGTTCTGTAAGAGCAGGAATTTTTGTGGGTTCTTTTAGACAGCATTGTGAATAGTGCTCAGCGCATGGCAGGTACCCAAACCAATACTGGCTAAATGAATGAATAACATTAGAGGGCTTTAATGTCATTCTGAAAAGTGGTCTAAACTAATCACCTCTATAGAAGTACTTTAACGGCCCACATAAACTGGAATCTTTGGCAACTGGATGAAAAGCATTCAGGAAACAGACGGTCAGAATCTGCTGCCATCTGTTGTTCGGCTTCTTTCACTTAGCACAGTACTCTCAAGGTTCAATGCTGTAACACGGATTGGCACTTCCTTCCTTTCTATGACCAAATAATATTCCACTGTTCACCAGGTTTGAATTATTTCCACTTCTGTGGCTGCATGAAGGTTTCTGTATGGATGTATGATTTTAATTCTCTTGGCTCTGTACCCAGCAGAGGAACCGCTAGGTCATCTGGTAATTCCGTATTAACTTCACACAGAATTGTCAAGTTGTTTTCCAAAGCAGATGTACCATTTTATATTTTGCAATGAACGAGATTTCTAGTTTCCTTATCTTCTCACCAACATTTATTTATTTATTTATGGAGACGGAGTTTCGCTTTGTCGACCAGGCTGGAGTGCGATGGCATGATCTCGGCTCACTGCAACCTCCGCCTCCTGGGTTCAAGTGATCCTCCTGCCTCAGCCTCCCACGTAGCTGGGATTACAGGCACCCACCACCATGCTCAGCTAATCTTGTATTTTCAGTAAAGATGGGGTTTCTCCATGTTGGTCAGGCTGATCTTGAACTTCCAACCCCAGCCTCCCAAAGTGCTGGGACTACAGGTGTAAGCCACCGCACCCGGTCACCAATATTTATTAATTGTCTTTTTGAGTACAGCCATTCTAGTAGTTGTGAAGTGTTATCCTGTTGTGGTGGGGTTTTTTGTTGTTTTTTGCTGAGACAGAGTCTCACCCTGTCGCCCAGGCTGGAGTGCAGTAGTGCTATCTTGGCTCACCGCAACTGCCACCTCCTGGGTTCAAGCAATTCTCTTGCCTCAGCCTCTGATTGTTGAGGTTTTGATTTACATTTCCTTAATAACTGATAATGTTGAGCCACATATGGTAATTTAAAAAAAAGAGAAGTGGCCAGGTGCAGTTGTTCACACCTGTAATGCCAGCACTTTGGGAAGCCGAGGCGAGTGGATCAACTGAGGTCAAGAATTTGAGACCAGCCTGACCCAACATGGAGAGACCCCGTCTCTATGAAAAGTACAAAAATCAGCTGGGTGTGGTGGCACGCACCCATAGTCCCAGCTACTCAGGAGGCTGAAGTAGGAGGATCGCTTGAACCTGGGAGGTGGCGGTTGCAGTGAGCTGAGATTGCGCCACTGCATTCTAGAATAGGCAAGAGAGTGGGACCCTGTCTCAAAACATCTTAAAAAATAAAAGAAGGAGAAGCTTTAGAGACAGGTGCTCCAAACTTCCTACGTAAAATACAAAACAATACAGCTTACTACTAAAAACCTACAAAGTCTTCACCTAACACATTAATTTGTAACTCAGAGAGCAAATGATTTCTAGATGCAGAGTTAGGGGCAGAGATTAGGTTTTATCAACCTTCTACTTTAAATTCTTGGACAGTGCCAGGCACGTGCAAGTTCTAAATAAGAGTTTCAAAGAAAAACATTGAACAAGGCTGGTGTTTAACTCATCTTACCCTCAAGGGATTTTCATTGAGGTATGGAGGCTCTCCTTCTACCATCTCAATAGCCATGATACCCAGAGACCATATGTCGACTTTAGGGCCATAAGCTTTCCGTGTAACCACCTCTGGTGCCATCCAGTATGGCGTTCCGACCATGGTACTGCGTTTGCTCTGCTCAGGGGTGATCTGGGCACAGAAACCAAAGTCAGCTACAAAACAAAACAAAACAGAGTTAATGGCTTCCATGGATGGTTTTAGCAGAAGAGTTCACTTCAGATTATGTAATTAATTATATTTTGACTATTAGGCCTCTTGTTTTTAAAGATTTCATTAATAAAGTAAACCAGAATGAGTTTAAAAATATTTTCATGATGTAACACACTCTCACATTTTACTTTTACTTGCCACAGAGTCCAAATTATCAGGAGGCCTTTTATTCTGAATAATTCATTCTATCCTAAAAAATTTAATAAAACTGAAAGAGGTCTACGAAAAAGTAAAGCAAAAGTAGACACCAAAACTAAATGCAGTGAATCAGGTAAAGGTCAGGTCATGGAAACTACTTTGTCTTTTAATTTTGTTTAATTTTTAAAATTTTTTGTAGAGACAGAGTCCCCCTGTGTTGCCTAGGCTGGTCTTGAACTCCTGGGCAACATGGGAGGGATCTTCCCACCTTGGCCTCCCAAAGTGTTGGGATTACAAGTGTGCGCCATCACACCCAGCTGTAAACTATTTTTGAATAAAACAAACAGAAGCCAGAATCACTAAACATCCATCATCTCAGCAGAGAGCCTAAGGTCGCCACCAGCATTATCTTCTCAATCTCACCTGTAATGGAGGTGCAGGATGCCTAGTGTAGTACTCAATGTTCATTTAGTGGAAAAGTCAGGATTAGTATTTAGAATTCTTTCTTATACTGTTAAACCCATTCCATTTCATATGTGACTACTGTTAAAATTTAGGTTTGTAAGCTTTAGACTGTTGGTTATGCATGTACATATGCATGAATAATATCTATGAACGGTTTGGTTTGTATTACCAATCAGGATACTCTGTAAACTTTGGTAAAACCATTTCTTGAGATCTTTCCATATTAGTACATCTGCCTATTTAAAAAATTTTTTATTTTAAAATTTTTTGTCACAGGGTTTCACTCTGTTGCCCACGCTGTGTGCAGTAGAGCAATTTCGGCTCACGGCAACCTCTGCCTCCTGTGCTCAAGCCATCCTCCTGCCTCAGCCTCCTGAGTAGCTGGGACTAGAGGCGCCTGCCACCACGCCCGGCTAATTGTTGTATTTTTAGTAGAGATGGAGTCTTGCCATGTTGCTCAGTCTGGTCTCAAACTCCTGGGCTCAAGCAATCCACCTGCCTCGACCTCCCAAAGTGCTGGGATTACAGGCGTGAGCCACTGCACCCGGCCTCCCTCATCTTAAAAACTATACAGAATATAAAAATATAATAATCCATGTAATTATTCCCTTACTGCTCAACACTTAAGATAGTTTTGGTTTTTCTTTACAATATTGCAGAGAACATCCTTGTACTTACTGCGGTATGTAAGTTCAGAAATTCTACAGGAGAGAATTCTACAAGAGTAACAGTTAGGTCAAACAATATTTATAGCTAAAATGAGTACTTAAAACAATCCAGATACTGTTTAAGTACCTTATAAGAATTAAAATATTTAATCCGCATGGTAACCCTATGAGAAAGGTACATTTATTATTACAATTATTCCCATTTTACAAATAGGAATACTGAGGCATAAAGACAACTTATCCAAGGTTATTCACTTAGTAAATGGCAGAGCCAGAAAAAAAAAATGTCATCCAAAAGTTTAATTCATTTTCATGTGTATTCACCAAAAATGTATGAGAGCTTCCCCATTAAGATTACTTAAAAATAAGCAATCATGGCCAGCCGCGGTGGCTCACGCCTGTAATCCCAGCACTTTGGGAGGCTGAGGCGGGAAGATACCTGAGTTCAGTAGCTAGAGACCAGCCTGACCAATGTGGAGAAACCCCGTCTTTACTAAAAACACAAAAATTAGCTGGGTGTGGTGGTGCACACCTGTAATCCCAGCTACTCAGGAGGCTGAGGCAGGAGAATCGCTTGAACCCAGGAGGCGGAGGTTGCACTCCAGCCTGGGCAACAAGAGCAAACCTCCATCTCAAAAAGACAAGACAAGACATTACCTAATAATGTCTTATCTAGTGGTAATTATTAGGTAATGTCTTATCCAGCGAGTCCTTTCTCTGGCACTGATTAGTTAAAACCCTCAGAGGATCACTCAGTTTTCAAAGGTCTCACCTCTTCCTATATTAAATCATTATTAATCCTTGCATTGGTCAAGAAAAGTTTTTAATTAAACAAAAGGCAGAAAATTATAATAAATGATTGTGAATTGTCCATTTGTTACTCACTGAGCTTAACAGATCCTTCCATTCCCAAAAGTACATTGTCACTTTTGATGTCTCTGTGGATCACTTGATTAGCATGTAAAAACTCCAATGCCTGTAAACACTGAACAGAAGAAAAACACCTATTAATGAAATAGTCCCTGAAAAGACACAGGGAGGCACATGCAGTAGCTATGGCCTGAGCATTGCTTCCAGTGCCCAGCAGAAGACCCTCCAATACTTTTATTTATAAAGAAAAAACATCCTCTCTTATATACAAAGTTATGAAAAGTAATTAGATCTCCTCCTTAAAGTTTTATATAAGAAAATAAAATTTTTTAAAAAGTCAGTAGATCCGCTCCTACCCTCTGATCTTACTCAGAGACATTGTTTAGCTGGGTCTGTATAATGTCTTGCCTCCTGGCCGGGTGAGACAGGCAGATCACTTGAGGGCAGGAATTCAAGACCAGCCTGGCCAACATGGCAAAACCCCATCTCTACTAAAAAATACAAAAATTAGCCAGGGGAGGCCAGGCATGGTGGCTCACTTCTGTAATCCCAGCACTTTGGGAGACCGAGGCGGGTGGATCACCTGAGGTCAGCAGTTCGAGACCAGCCTGGCCAACATGGTGAAACCCTGTGTCTGCTAAAAATACAAAGAAAACAGCTGGGTGTGGTGGTGTGCACCTGTAACCCCAGCTGCTCAGGAGGCTGAGATAGCAGAATCGCTTGAACCTGGGAGGCGGAACTTGCACTGAGCCAAGATCGCACCACTGCACTCCAGCCTGGGTGACAGAGCAAGACTCCATCTCGAAAAAACAAAAAAAGACGGACAGAAAGAAAGAAAAATTAGCCAGGTGTGGTGCCTCAGGCCTGTAATCCCAGCTACTTGGGTGGCTGAGGCAGGAGAATCCCTTGAATCCAGGAGGCAGAGATTGCAGTAAGCTGAGATTGTGCCACTGCACTCCAGCCTGGGCGACAGAGCAAGACTCAGTCTCAAAAAAAAAAAAAAAAAAAAAAAAAATTGCCTCTTTCAGGTTTAAATGCCTAAAGGTATACAACACTTGGTAAACATGCACAGGCTCCTCAGAAATCTTTTCAACAGTAATGAAAAAACCTTGATCATTCCCATTTGAACATGAGATACTCAGAAGGCTAATCAATGTGAGCCACTGAGAAGCGGGTAAGATTCTGGGTGGCCTGGTTCCACTTAGCTGTTCATCAGAAAGAAGATGTTCTTCAGTGCCCGATTTTATATTAAGCTGTATCTACAACTTGGACATGAATGATGCAAGAATAACTTTCCTCTTATGCCATATTTCAGAGAGCACTGAGTCACAAAGTGGGGGTAAACTACTCCTTTCCTTACAAACGAGAACGAGATGACGTTTTAAAAATCTGCTCACTCTTGTGTTTTTGAACTACGGGTGTAAGTTAGCTGTGCTTTTATTTCTTACTCCCATCAGAGGAGAACAAAGTCTGTACAACTAAAAATCTCATCCAAAATCTTCTACTATTCATTCAAGGAAAAACAGATAAATTGGGTGTTACCGCAATACATTTACCAGGCAATCATCAGATTCAAAGCTCCAGAAAATACTTGTACAAATAAATAGAAACAAACTCGTCACAGTTTAAAAGTTCTGGCACACAAAAGAAAACCCAAATTAGAGGAACTTCCAAAATTAATTTTTATATCAATTACAAAGAAATGTATTAGAAAAAACAAAATTAAGTATAAATAGGTAAATTCTTGTTTTTATCAGCTTTTCAGTGACCAAGCATGCATTGTTAAGGACTATCATATTCTATTAATATTCTATTCAAGAGTTCTTATTTCCTCCCTTCTACCAAAGAGGTACTATTCCTCAGGTAGAACACAAATCAGAATTAAAATTTTAATATTTTTAACACCTTAATGACAGATGGAAAAGGGAAATATATATGTATCATCCTTACATGAACAAAGTTTGTAATTCACATGTCACTGAAGAACTGCTGAAAGCCAAATCATAGAAAACACAATATAGTCTTATAAACTTAAAGTTTTGCCCTTTGTGACAGTGATTCCTATGACATTAGAAGTTTCAATGACAATAAGCAAACCATTAGCCCAAATCTTATCTGTAGAAAAAGCTCAGATATAGGTGGAAAAAAGAAGGCTTATTTTTGGCTTAAATTGGCAATTTGGCAGAATTCTACTGGTTTAAGCTAATAATATGTCTAGAAATTCATTAATGAATATAAAGAAATAACCGGTTTCTTCACCATTAGTGAACTCAATGAAGCCAGGCACAGACTTATTGATACTGAAGGCAAATAAGTGTCCTGCTTGACCTGAGATAGTTCTAGTTTCCACGGTTGAGTGGCGTATTTCTTTCTCTTTTTTTTTTTTGAGACGGAGTCTTGCTCTGTCGCCAGGCTGGAATGCAGTGGCACGATCTCGGCTCACTGTGACCTCCGCCTCTTGGGTTCAAGCTAATCTCCCGTCTCAGCCTCCCGAGTAGCTGAGACTACAGGCGCGTACCACCACACCCAGCTAATTTTTGTATTTTTAGTAGAGACGGGGTTTCACCGTGTTGGTCAGGATGGTCTCAATCTCTTGACCTCATGATCTGCCCGCCTCGGCCTCCCAAAGTGCTGGTATTACAGGCGAGAGACACTGTACCCAGCCTCTTTTTTTTTTTTTTTGAGACAATCTTGCTCTGTTGCCCAGGATGGAGTGCGGTGGCGCAATTTTGGCTCACTGCAATGTCTGCCTCCTCAGCTCAAGCGATTCTCCCGCCTCAGCCTCGCGAGTAGCTGGGATTACAGGCGTGCACCACCATGCCTGGCTAATTTTTGTATTTTTAGTAGAGATGGGGTTTTGCCATGTTTCCCAGGCTGGTCTCAAAACTCCTGACCTCAGGGAATCTGCCTGCCTTGGCCTCCCAAAGTGCTAGGATTACAGGCATGAGCCACCACTTCCAGCTAAGTGGTGTATTTCTTTTTCTTTTTTTTTGAGACGGACTCTCGCTCTGTTGCCCAGGCTGGAGTGCAGTGGTGTGATCTCGGCTCACTGCAAGCTCCACCTCCCAGGTTCACGCCATTCTCCTGCTTCAGCCTCCTGAGTAGCTGGGACTACAGGTACCTGCCAACACGCCCGGCTAATTTTTTTGTATTTTTAGTAGAGACAGGGTTTCACCGTGTTAGCCAGGATGGTCTCGATCTCCTGACCTTGTGATCCACCCGCCTCGGCCTCCCAAAGTGCTGGGATTACAGGCGTGAGCCACCGCGCCCAGCCTGAGTGGTGTATTTCTAATGATATATACCCTTTTACTCTCAAAAGTGTCCTGTTTGGATGGTAAATGATCATCATCACTCTACCAGAATTTCCTTGTGAATCTGGATCTTCAAAGGTCCACAATTCATTCCCAAATTATCTTATACCTGAAGGAAAGGGCTGAAACTCCTGTGTAGGATGAAATGGCACGGAGATGGAGTAATTTGCAGAGAATGTATACAGAGAAAGCACCTCCCACAATAACAATTACCTGTGCAGAAAAATTTCCTTTTGTTCACTTCTTGCTAACCACATATCACCATAACATATCAAGAAGGAGGCAAACCTACCTCTCTGCATACAGCAGCAATCTGTGCTTCATCCATGCACGTTTCTGTTACCACATCAGTGAGTGACCCCCCAGCAAGGTATTCCATGACCACAAACAATTCATCTCCTACCAGGTAACTAAAAATACAACATACCAAATACAGTCACACTTTTATTTTTCCTAAACACATGGTATTCTATGTTGAAGAATTCAAATATTAAACACCCTAACAATAAAACTAGAGCTGGTAGCTTGAGAGTTAGGAAGAAAACTGGAAAGCTGCTACGTAACAGCACAGAAAAATAACTGAAGTTATGATCCTGAATCATTTTAAAGTTACAGTTTGCCCACAACTGTAGTTTGAGTATGCACATAGCTCATTCTGATTAAAATAACCCTACAATATAGAAATTACTAGTCCTGTTTTAGAGATAAACAGACAAAGGCTTGGAGAGGTGAAGTGACTCATCCAAGGGCACACAGCTATTAATAGGAAGTGACAGAACCAGAATATGAAGCCAAGGATCAACGATTCCGAAGCCCCTGGCTTATCTTAACCACCACACTATGCTGACTTGAAATGTTATTTTAAAAAGCAGGGAACTGTACCTGAAAAGTTTATTTTTTATTTATTTTTTTGAGACAGAGTCTTGCTCTGTTGCCAGGCTGGAGTGCAGTGGCGCGATCTCGGCTCACTGCAGCCTCCACCTCTTGGGTTCAAGCAATTCTCCTGCCTCAGCCTCCTGAGGAGCTGGGACTACAGGTGTGCGGCACCATGCCCAGCTAATTTTTGTATTTTTAGTAGAGACAGGGTTTCACCACGTTGGCCAGGATGGTCTCGATCTCATGACCTGGTGATCCACCTGCCTCGGCCTCCCAAAGTGCTGGGATTACAGGCGTGAGCTACCGTGCCTAGCCTGAAAAGTTTATTTCTATGAACATGTTCTCCATAACTAGGGATAAAGTCTCTAAACATTATTTTTTCCTCATTCTAAACAAATTTAAATATGGAAGAAAATCACCTATAATCACCTCTATCTTCAATAAAACCACTGTTATCATTTTCAACGAATCTTCTCTCATGCAGTTGTAGTAATATACATCATTTTCTTTTCTTTTTTTTTTTTTTTGAGATGGAGTCTCATTCCATTGCCCAGGCTGGAGTGCAGTGGTGCGATCTCGGCTCACTGCAACCTCCACCTCCTGGGTTCAAGCAATTCTCCTGCCTCAGCCTCCTGAGTAGCTGGGATTACAGGTGTGAGCCACTGCACCCAGCCAATATGCATCATTTTCTATTCTGCTTTTTGGTCTGTTATTTAACATTAATTCCTCAACTAAATGAGGTTTTGATAGACATATAAATTTGTCCATGAAGGATAGCATTTGAAATAAAAATTGATCCACAAGTTTAAAAACCATGTAACCAGTCCCCTCTGTCAGTCAAGACACGAATCACAGCCAACCATTCATGTGTTCGCTTCAGGTCGTTTGCGATGAGTATAAACACCACCAGCTATGGCCTTCAATTAACTGCCTTCTCTCACCTGCCAAGTGATGTCCTTGCAGAGAAGGACCTTCTAAAACTGCACTGTGCTATTTTTACCTCTCCTCTTCTTTCTTCCATCTTATTTCTCGGCACTGACAGTTTATTCCAAAGTGGCCAGCCCCACCCCCGAAACCATGAGACTTAAAATTTCTACATTTTCTCCCGGTGTTTAAGGAATAGTCATACTTACCTGTCCAAAAAGTTAACGATGTTGGGATTTTTCAATTCTTTCATCACCAGAATCTCGTTAATGATCAGTTCCTTCTTTGGCTGTTTCTGTAAATTAATTTGTTTGATAGCAACCTATAATGAAAACAGGATTGAAAAAAACCAGGTTTAGGAATTCTCTTAGAAAATTACAAACCCCAAGCAGTTGATAACTCACGGTACGTGTACTGTATTACACCATGCTATTACTCCCAGGTGGCACCTTGCCTTGCACACTGCCTGTGCACAATGCTTTGTAATGTTTAGAACCTAGTTTTAGATTTATCTTGAAGTTGATTAATACACCCACAGTCAGTCCAATACTAAGAATTAATCCTCTTTTCACTTCAAGCTGAGGAAACAATTTTTAAGTATTTGCTTATTTATGACATTGAACTCATAAGTCCTTCCCCGCCTTACTGACAGAAGTGCTATAAACATACGTAGAGCGATTCTTACAACGGGCTCAACTTAAAAGAGGTTCCTATTGCTTCTTCCCAGCTTCATCTAGTTTCCACCTATATGACAAAATAATGGTAACACCCAGGATTACAACAAAGTAACTACCTCCTGTCCCAGTGCAACGTCAGTAGCAGTGAAAACTGTACCAGAAGCCCTAGAGGGAGAAAACACACAACCAGATTTAAGGTTGATAAATCACTAGCATTTGCAATATCCAAAGACTTTACACTTCAAGCAATTGAAAAAGAATTAAAGAACAGGATGACCTAACGTGCTTAAAAGGAGTAAAAGCAAAAACCTGAGGAAAGGGGGTGGGGGAAGAAAGAGACAATCCTTACGGCAAAACTTATGTGTGAAATATTTCAGACCTACAAAAATGTAGGGAAAAAAGAGCAGGAAAAAAATTATATAACATATACTTAAGGATACACTTCCCTGATTAAGATACAAATAACTGTAAATAATTTGAAGATTCCCATAAGCCCTTTCCGACAGCAGTCTCCTTCCTCCCAAAGGTGATCTGTATTTGGTGTTTATCCTGTATTTGGTGTTCATCATTTTCATGCATTTCTCCATACTTTTAACTACAAAGGACGCAGATATGTATCCCTATAAAATATACTTTGTCTAATTTTTAAACGTCATATAGTTTCATTTCACATATTATTCTGCAACTTGCTTTTGTGACTCAACACTGGATTTGTGATGGTCATCCATATGGATAGGTATTGCTTGTTCATTCATGCTCAAAAATAGTAAGATAATCTTCAATTCTCTTTCATAAAACCAGTGCTGCAATTGAATTTAGCTGTTAGGAAGAAATTCAGGCCTGGTGCAGTGGCTCACACCTGTAATCCCAACACTTTGGGAGGCTGAGGCAGAAGAATCGTTTGAACCCGGGAGGCAGAGGTTGCAGTGAGCTGAGATTATGTCACTGCACTCCAGCCTGAGTGACAGACTCCGCCAAAAAAAAAAAAAAAAAAAAAGGGAAGGAAGGAAGAGAAGGAAGGGAAGGGAGGGAAGGAAGGGAGGGAAGGGAGGGAAGGGAAGGAAGGAAAGGAAGGGAAGGAAGGGAGGGAGGGAAGGGAGGGAAGGGAGGGAAGGGAAGGAAGGGAGGGAGGGGAGGGAGGGAAGGAAGGGAAGGGAAGGGAGGGAGGGAAGGGAAGGAAGGGAGGAAGGAATTCATATGGAAGTTTTCAAAAATGGCTTAAGCCCTCACTCTAAATTCACAGAATGCTTTCCAGAGTTTAATAACATTAAAAATTTAGGTGTTTATTTGCTTCCAAGCAACAGAAAAAAGGAGTTTAGTTAGTATACTTTAAAAATACAAATTACACAACAAAATCAGAAGATCAGTAGACTCAAAAGTCAATACACAATGACATGATTTAAATGCATTTTTTATTGCTTATAGTCATGCAGTAAATATTCTTATTGTCTTTTAAATATATTTTATGGGCAATTCTTCCCTCTAATTATCACAGATGGGAAATGACACTTAAGAAAAAATAATGATACACAGTCATTGCTAACAACTAGTACAGTTTTTTAACAGCATCTACAAATAACTGCATTATTTATTTACACAAATCCCCCAAGGGTACCACTCACAGAATACTATATAAGTACTTGATGTCGGCAGGCAAAATAAACATCATGCTATAAAGCCAGGAAATACTGAATACTGAATATTATCGTAATACAGTCACAAATACTTACCCTTGTCCAATTTTTTCATATCTTGTATATTTTTTCTTAGGGTCACCTATGCTCACGATAGTTCCTAGAATAAACAAAAAGCTGGAAGCTCAGTCAAGCATTTTAAGTGTAAATTGATTGTGATATTATTATTCCTTTTAATGAACTCCACTGTTTTTATAAGTGATTTTCAAACATAATACTAAGTTCCAAAAATAACAGGTTTCAAACACAAAACACTAAAGAAACTTAAATACATAATAAAAGTTTAAAAGTATCAGAAACAAGACACATTAAAAGTTTAAAAGTAACAGAAACAAGAAGACACATTATTTCCATTAGGTTAGACCTCCTAACTAATCATTTGCTCAATAATGGTCACATTTTGAAAAGACTGTACCAGTTTGTCAGAGATTAATTAGGTTCTCAGATGTTCAGCTTTAGAATCAGGTAATCTCAAGAAAATAGACATATTTGAATATAAAATAGATATATTTGAATATAGAAATAGATATATTTGAATATATCTATTAATAGGTAAGTTTGAGACTACTTAGTATTATAAATAATAAAGGCTATCTAAACCCTAAATGGTCTTTCTGACTCTTCCAGTATACATTTCATCTTTCAATATATTTAGAAAACCACTTATTACCATAAAAATTACTATGCTCTGACATAAACTAATCATATGTTTGTTTTAGGAAAGTTCAAAGTCACAAGAAAGAGGTTTTAAAATTAGGAAGTTGGACATAAAATCCTAACTTATATTCTTATTACTAGTAAGAAAAACCACATTAAACTTTCACTTGCTCAAGGTAAAAAAGGACAGGACCATATCAAGGAAACTGACATAAATAGTTTTATGTAGGTACCCAACCTCAAGTCAACAAGCAAAGAAACAGGATCAATAATAAGAGGCTAAGAACAAAAAGATACCAAAAAGACTGGGGATGTGACAGCTAAAGGTCACAACTAAATGATGACAATTAGGATTCTAGTTAATTTTTTTTTTTTTTTTAAGTAGCAGCTCTCCTAAAATAATTCTTATATGCTCATAGAGTAACAGAGCAGGCCAGGTGTGGTGACTCATGCCTGAGGTCAGGAGTTTGAGACCAGCCCAGCCAACATGGTGAAACCCCATCTCTACTAAAACTACAAAAATTAGCGGGGTGTGGTGGCGCACACCTGTAGCCCCAGCTACTCGGGAGGCTGAGGCAGAAGAAACGCTTGAACTGGAGAGGCAGAGATTGCAGTGAGCCACGCCACTGCACTCCAGCCTGGGTGACAGAGCGAGACTCTGTCTCAAAAAAAAAAAAAAAAAAAGATAATAATAATAACAGAGTAAGAGCCAGGTTTATACTTGAAAGCACTGAGAAATCAAAACCAAATAAACATGGGGCATATAAACATTTGTTTATTTTTTAGAGACAGGGTCTCACTCTGTCACCCAGGCTGGAGTGCAGTGGCGCAATCACAGCTCACTACAGCCTTGAACTCACGGGCTCAAGCAATCCTCCTGCCTCAGGCTCCCAGTCAGCTGGGACTACAGACATGCACCACCAGGTCTCGTTAATTTTCTTTTTTTCTTTTTTTTTTGAGGGGGTGGAGTCGGGGTCTAAGTTGTATAGTTCGGCCTTGAACTCCTGGACTCCAGCTATCCTCCTATCTTGGCCAGCCAACGTACCGAGATTATAGGTTTGAGCCACTATGCCCAGGCTTTATGTTTAAAACAATCCTTCCATACAGTATTTTTCCTTGAACCCTCTAGATTAGCATTCTTTAATTGTTAATTTTATTTATTATTATTTTTTGAGACTGAGTCTCGCTCTTTCGCCCAGGCTGGAGTGCAGTGGCACGATCTCGGCTCACTGCAATCTCCGCCTCCCAGGTTCAAGTGATTCTCCTGCCTTAGCTCCCCAAGTAGCTGGGATTACAGGCACCTGCCATGACACCTTGCTAATTTTTGTTTTTAGTAGAGATGGGGTTTTGCCACATTGGCCAGGCTAGTCTTGCTCCTGACCTCAAGTGATCCACCCACCTTGGTCTCCCAAAGTGCTGGGATTATAGGCATGAGCCACAGTGCCCGGCCGGTTCGCTTTTTTTTTTTTTTTTTTGAGATGGAGTCTCACTGTTGCCAGGCTGGAGTGCAGTGGCGCGATCTCGGCTCACTATAACCTCCGCCTCCCGGGTTCAAGTGATTCTCTTGCCTCAGCCTCCCAAGCAGCTGGTACTACAGGCACATGCCACCATGCCCAGCTGATTTTTGTATTTTTAGTAGAGGAGGGGTTTCACCATACTGGCCAGGATGGTCTCGATCTCCTGACCTTGTGATCCGCCCACCTCGGCCTCCCAAAGTGCTGGGATTACAGGCGTGAGCCACCGCGCCCAGCCCAACGACGCAATCTTGGCTCACTGCAACCTCCACCTCCTGGGTTCAAGTGATTCTCTTGCCTCAGCCTCCAAGTAGCTGGGATTACAGGCACATGCCAGCACATCCAGCTAATTTTTGTATTTTTAGTAGAGACGGGGTTTCACCATGTTGGCCAGGCTGGTCTTGATCTCCTGACCTAGTGCTGGGATTTAGGGGTGAACCTGGTGACATCACCAGATTGTAATTGAAGCTACTGTTGCTATAAGGAAACAATTTATTCTTTATACTTTAAGTCACAATGTAAAGTGTAAGTTAAAATCCATCTGGGCCAAATGTTTTAAGAGCCGTGAACAATTTAACAATGATGTAAAATGTAGATAACATACTTAATTTCTCCATAATCTCTTCATCTGTCATCTTAGTCTTCTTTTTCTGTTTGTCTAAAGACTTGGCAGCACCATCAACATGTGAATCACCAACTGGTGCAGGAACAGGGTCAATTACAGACCGTGTGTAAATCTGTGGAGACACAGTTCATTACCAAGGTTTGAGGAATAATGTTTTCAGATATTCTTCCTGGCAAACTAATTCAGTTCTTTGATTTTTAACCTGAACTAAGTAGTCTTTTCCATTGTTCTAAATAATGAGAACACTATTTTCAGATATAAAAGATGTGTAACTAAGAAGAATAAATGTGAAACATTTTTCTTTGGCATAGCATGAATATATTTGAAAAGCTGTCTAGTAAAACAGCAGGTCCATGAATGAAATTTAAGTGTGACCAGGTCTAAAATGGTATAACAATGTATCAAAAAGCACGGTTTAAAAATCATGTTTTTACTACAAATGGTAAGTAAAATGCAAAAGAACAGAAACCTTGATGTTGAAATAACTATTATTAATTCCCATGAAAGTTTTTACACAATTATAATGCCTACCACCCATTTCAAACAGCCAGATTGAAAGGCTAAAGAAAACGGAGTCCTCTGCCATCAGCTTGGCATCCAGAGGCTGTCTCCTGAGCTCTGCCTGCCCGCTGTGCCAGGAGCACAGCCCATTCCACGGCACAGCACCTTCCGCACACTCTACCTGCAGTACTGAAGGGAGCAGAATGGTAACCGCAGTCATTCCTCTCTTCCTGGCTCCATTTAAGGTCATCATTTTTAAAATTCTCCCTTACCTGGTTAGGAATTTCATTCTCAACTGCCTTTTGAATGACAGCAAGGCGCTGAGAGTAGTGTAAAATGGGAGATTAAAATGCATAATCTGGGTAAGAGGAAAGCTCTAAGTTTTAGATTTAGTCGTCATCTACATTGAGATAAACAGAGAAAGCTTGGGAAATAGACGAACCCTCTGGAAAAGGTGTACTATACAAAGAAAAAAGCCCAGTGAGGTGAGTGCGTTAACTTTTAAAGACATCACATTTTAATCTTCAGAAAACTAGTTTTAGGTGAGTGGTCTTTGGGTACAGATTTCTTGGTTAAATTTCCCCATACTAAACGATTTTAAACTTGAGGGCTTTTTAAAAGCAATCACTGAAAGTCAAATACAAACTCTGCTATTTTTTAAAACACACGTGCACACACACAGCCTAGATCACCGATGGAGACTCACTGATTTCGTATGATCCGGTCGCGGGGCAATAACGGGAGGAGCAGTCTCTTCATCATCATCCTCCTCCTCTGTCACTACTGCGGGTGCTTCTGTTCCCTTGGCATTCAGCTGCATTGATGATGAGCAAAGTAAGGAAAACAAGTCCAATAGGCTTAAATGCGACTATCGCCCTTTATGAACGTACTTCAAAAAGTTTGCTTCTTTGATAGCTCATTTCAAAACCACTAAATCTCATTAGCTCTTAGATAACTCAATAGAATTATAATCTAACATAATAAGGCGATTCTATGAATCATGAAAAAGTTTATGAAATATATATATATGGTGAGTACCAAATATTTTAATAAAGTTACCCTAAGCATACATATACAATGTCCTGAAAGTAAACAATGTTACTTGTTAAGACCAAAATCAAAGATCCTCTGGGCTTTGTTATGTCAGAGACATCTGGTGACATTTAAAACAGTCAGATTTGGGGCCGGGCATGGTGGCTCACGTCTGTAATCCCAGCACTTTGGGAGGCCGAGGTGGGTGGATCACAAGGTCAGGAGATCAAGACCATCCTGGCTAACACGGTAAAACCCCGTCTCTACTAAAAACACAAAAAATTAGCTGGTCGTGGTGGCAGGCGCCTGTAGTCCCAGCTACTCGGGAGGCTGAGGCAGGAGAATGGAGTGAACCCAGAAGACGGTGCGTGCAGTGAGCCAAGATTGCGCCACTGCACTCCAGCCTGGGCGACAGAGCGAGACTCTAACTCAAAAAAAATAAAAATAAAATAAATAAATAAATAAAATAAAATAAAATATAAAAAAATAAAACTCCAGGAGACTGTTTCCTCCCAATTGAGAAACTGCAAATAAAACGACTGTTTCCAAAAACTGACTGTGTTTATGCGATAACTTAAGTTTCAGATGACTCTGAAGACTGACAAGGTTCAACTGTTCAGCACCTTTCCACAGTCTATATTCAGTAAAATAGTACCAGAAGGAAAACTGAGGGATGGAGAGGAAAATATATGCTAGCAAGTTCTTTGTGTTCACGTTTGTATATGTTAACATTACCAAAACTAACTAAACTGTTCTGAAGGTCATTATAAATTTTAGTTACATTAAGTATCACATCAAGGAATTTCTATTTAATACGGCTTCTTCAACTAATCAGGTGGCTAGCTAAAAACACCTATTGAGTAGTTATTTACCTCTGATGGCTGTAATTTATTTTAGAAAGCAAAATAAAAACTGAGATTTGTCTTGGGTAACCTAAATTAGAACAAGAGATACAAGAAATAATATAATTAACTTACTGCTGGTGTTCCAGAAGGAAAGCCATCTTTCTCTGAATATGAAACAAAACATAACATTAGCAATTCAAGAAACAGCACTTTTATATGATAAAAGGAAAAAAAAAAAGCAGAGAAAGTGAAATGTTCTTAAACTGATTTCAAGTTGAATTAACTCTTGAGAAAAATGAACACGCAAGTAGTCAAATAAGAATTTATATAAGACCAAGGTAAGAAATCTGAAATCTACATGAAACTATAAATTTAGTAAAAATCAGTGAATTATATATTTAAAATGGGTGAATTGTATTGCATGTAAATTATACCTCAATAAAGCTATCAAAATTTAGTTTGAAAGTATACCTATCAATCTGTATTTATTAAAACAAAACAAATTTATTGATAAAGATACTTTCTCCAGAAAACTGCTGACTGAGGAACTTAATGCAACAATTAAGACAATGACAATTGTGCAAAGTAAAATTCTGACATTGTTTTGTTTTTCTTTTAAAAATGCCCAGAGACATACATATATGTGTGTGTGTGTGTATATGTGTGTGTGTATATATATATATATATGTGTATATATATATATATATATCACACACACACACACATATCACATATTACATACGCACAGGCCGGGCGCGGTGGCTCATGCCTGTAATCCTAGCACTTTGGGAGGCCGAGAGACAGGCAGATCACCTGAGGTTGGGAGTTCAAGACCAGCCTGACCAACATGGAGAAACCCAGTCTCTACTAAAAATACAAAATTAGCCAGGTGTGGCGGCGCATGCTTGTAATCTCAGCTACTCAGGAGGCTGAGGCAGGAGAATTGCTTGAACCCGGGAGGCGGGGGTTCTGGCAAGCCGAGATTGTGCCACTGCACTCCAGCCTGGGCAACAGAGTAAACTCCAGCTCAAAAACAAAACAAAACACACACACGCACGCGCGTGCGCACACACATATATGTATGTATGTGTACTAGGTGAAAATAAGCTACCATTTTGTGGTCAAACATTGGTTTTTCAAAAAAATTACTAATTTACACACAGACTTACTGGTTGATAGAAAAGTTCTAGGAGCAAGTGTGACCTTTTCCTAACGGTGTACTAGACTCAACAAAAAAAGGTCAAGATCACTTGAAAAAGATTTCTATTTCTCCCTTGCACATGGCCTTTGTTTCTGTGAGGATGCAAACAGTAAGTAAAATCAATTAAAACCACATGTACGATTTTAGCTCCATCATATTGCTTTTGAAAACCACATGTATGACTTCAGAGACAGACAAACATATTGAAAAATGACATCCTGAGGATGTAGTGAGCAAAATCTAAACTGAGGGAAACAGGACAAATGATCTTGTTTCTGTAATAAATAAACGTCAAGAAAAGACAGCATGAACCAGTGTGTGGGAGGGGAAGCCTAAAGATCAAAAGAGATTCAAGAGATGTATCAACCAACTGCGTTGTATGAACTTTATTCTGATCTTTATTTGAACAAAAACTATTTTTAAAAATCCACTACACCAACTCTTACACTATATACCAATTCACTGGTTCTCTCATAGGTTAACGGTATATCTCAGATACTGAGCAACTTGGAAAACAAAGTACATCAAACCCCATTTCCATCCAGCTATATTCATCCAGAAAGTAAAATTTGCATTACTGTGACTATGTAGATGATATTCCAGATATTCCATTTCTGAGGTATAAATCCTTTTAGTTCTAACGCTTCTTTCGTATATGATTTATCTGTTTTATATATTAAAATACATATATTCTATTATCTGCACACTTGCGAGTTTCAATTTTTTGAGTGGACCTAAACATTTTTTAGTTCAACCTCCTCTTGTCCCGCTAACAATAAATGTGTTTCTAGTATGAACATGTCTATCAACCAGCGTCTTTTCCTTTGATTGCTGGAAGTCATTTAAAAGCAGTGAAGAGTGAAAAATGAAAACAAAAACACAGCAATGAGGAGAAAAAACCAAATAAACAAAAAGCCAAAATATCCATCAACTCCCGTTTCTGGCAAACCTATGAGATTACTATAATTCACAGATCCAAATTATGCTTCAGAACTGCCCTGGATCAGTCTACAAAAGGTAGAATCTATCCAGGGAAAAACCGTTATCAACAAGAACCATAGTTTAGCTTTTCATTTTTCCAGGAGTAATCTTTTTATCTAGAAGTGCTTCACAAATCTCCATCTGATCCAGCCTTATGCCACTCTCTTACCAGGAGGAGTAAAGCTCAGATATTTCTGCTTCACTGTGTTGGAGTCGTAGAACTTTAGGACATCCAGCACAGCCTGAGGATTCTTCTTTTGCTCTAGTTTGGTGATATTGGAGGTCTGTAGTAATCGAGCCCACTGTTCTGGCATGCCCTAACAAGAAGATATTCAGAAATTAGTTATGGTTTAAATTGATGCAATAAAATTAATTTCCAGAGATAAATGACAAAATACACAAAACAAACCAATCTTTTGAGTGTAGGTTTGAGTAAATTTTAAAAGATCTCATTTTCTAAAGGTCTATTTTTTCTTTTTTCTTTTTTTGAGACAGAGTCTCACTCTGTCACCCAGGCTGGAGTGCAGTCGTGCGAGATCTCGGCTCACTGCAAGCTCCACCTCCCGGGTTCAGGCCATTCTCCTGCCTCAGCCTCCAGAGTGGCTGGGACTACAGGTGCCCGCCACCACGCCTGGCTAATTTTTTGTATTTTTAGTAGAGACGGGGTTTCACCATGTTAGCCAGGATAGTTTCAATCTCCTGACCTCGTGATCCACCCGCCTCGGCCTCCCAAAGTGCTGGGATTACACAGGCGTGAGCCACCGCGCCCGGCCTAGGTCTATTTTTTCTAAGTCTGTTTTGCATAACTATAATTAATAGGCTCTGCTCTCTAGGAAAACGATATATCCAACCACTAACACTTTTATAAAAAGCAAAAAGCAGTAAGAATTCATAGTTAACGTATAGATAGAAATGTTAATTTCCCTTTTTTTGAGACGGAGTTTCACTCTTCTTGCCCAGGCTGGAGTGCAATGGCACAGTCTCTGTTCACTGCAACCTCCATCTCCGAGGTTCAAATGATTCCCCTGCCTCAGCCTCCTGAGTAGTTGGAATTACAGGCATACACCCCCACGCTTGGCTAATTTTCTTGTATTTTTAGTAGGGATGGGGTTTCACCATGTTGGCCACACTGGTCTCGAACTCCTGACCTCAAATGATCTGCCAGCCTTGGCCTCCCAAAGTGCTGGGATTACAGGCGTGTGCCACCGCACCTGGCCTGAAATGTTAATTTCAAATTTAATAATGAAGGAAAATGTTTGAGTGCTATTTTAAACGTTATAAATGGGCCCGAACTAGGTTAACTTACAGTGAATTCTCCAGTAACAGCATCAAAGCCAACATGGATGGTGTGCTCAAAATCAGATGGAGGAGAAATTTCTGGCCGTTCCTTTTCTTTCTTTTTACTTCCTAGGGGGCATTAGAAAAAAAGAGAAAGAATCAGCCTATTTAAACAAGACTAGTAAAGGCACTTATAATTTTATTTTTTGTCTTTTGTTTTTTTAAATGGAGTTTCGCTCTTGTTGCCCAGGCTGGAGTGCAGTGGTGCAATCTCAGCTGACTGCAACCTCTGCTTCCCGGGTTCAAGCCATCCTCCTGCCTCAGTCTCCCAAGTAGCTGGGATTACAGGTGCCCACCACCATGCCCGGCTAATTTTTGTATTTTTAGTAGAGACAGGGTTTCATCATGTTGATCAGGCTGGTCTCAAACTCCTGATCCACCTGCCTTGGCCTCCCAAAGTGCTGAGATTACAGATGTGAGCCACCGCATGCCCGGCATATTATGTTTATATTTTTCCTAAAACATATTAGGATCAAAGTTATTCTAGAAAACACACTAGAATCAAAGTTATTCTAGAAAAGATTTCCCCTAAAAACTGGCTGATAGGAAACTAGTAAATGAAGTAAAGCAGACTGTCCTGCCATAGAGTAGGGCTGGACACAACCAAACACTGAGGAGGCACATGGAGTGACCAACGGCAGGCCTGAGTAACAGAGCACAGGCAGAAGAGACACCCCCTTCGGGCACCAGCTCTCTCACAAAGGGCTACATCTCAGATGCTGAGCAATGTGGACAGCAAACACAGCAAACCCCATTTCCACTCAGCTACATTCATCAGGAAGTCAGATTTGCATTACTGTGACTCCGCAGATAATACACACTGTCAAGACAAGTAGTTGACAAAACCACCTCTCCTTTTTTGTGCAAGCATAATCCTTTTTTAGTGGAGTTACTAATTGCCACATTTTAAAACTATGCAGTTTTTCTATGGTCCGATTGTAAATTATTTCTGCAACATTTCTGCCACACACCTATCAATAATGTTCTCTGTGAACTCCAACACATCAGTTCCTTCCCCCTACCCCCTCCCTCTCAGCTCCTCCTGCTCTAATCTGCAGTAGCTCATGCCTACGCTTCCTGCAGTTACCGTCCATGACATCCCTTCACTCCTGCCCTGTATGTGCTGGAATCTATTTTCTGGATCTTACGTTTTCCTCTTGATTTATCCCTTTAGTGATAGTTCTTCACTAATTTTATATATATATAAGTTGGAACCCTCAGCATTTCCAGTGTTGCCATTTAGAAGGCCAGCGCCATTTTGGTTCCTGTTTGGAGCCACTGTTGAAAGTCAATTGTCTGTACACGTGTGAGTCTATCTCTGAAGGCTCTGCTCTGTTGCAATTATCTGTTTGTCTGCCTTTATGCCACTATCAGACTGCCTTGATTATTTTATTGCCATTTTGTAATACGCATTGAAACTATGTCACATAAGTCTTCTTTTTCTTTTGTCAAAGCTGTTTGGGTAATCGAGGTCCTCTGCATTTCCCTATTAATTTTAGAATAAGCTTATTAATTTCTACAGAAAGCCTGTTGGAATTCTGACTAGAATTGGAATGAATGTACATACAGATGAATTTTAAGGAGAATTTCTTTCTTTCTTTCTTTTTCTTTTTTAACAGGGAGTCTCATTCTGTCGCCCAGGCTGGAGTGCAGTGGCGTGATCTCAGCTCACTGCAACCTCTGCCTCCCGGGTTCAAGCAATTCTCCTACCTCAGCCTCCTGAGGAGCTGGGATTACAGGCATGCACCATCATACCAGGCTGATTTTTATAATTTCTGGTAGAGATGGGGTTTCACCATGTTGGCCAGGCTGGTCTCAAACTCCTGGCCTCAAGCGATCCATCTGCTTTGGCTTGCCAAAGTGCTGGGATTACAGACATGAGCCACTGCACCTGGCTGAGAATTTATTTCTTGATTTCTTAACAACACCGAGTTTTCTGATCCATGAAAACAGCAAATCTTTTCATTTATTTAGGTCTTTAAAAATTTCTCTCAGCAGTGTTTGCAGTTGTCTTCATCCGTTCGGTACGCTTTATCAGAATACCACTGCCTATGCAATTGATTAATATAAACATTAGAAGCTGGCTGCGAGCAGTAGCTCATGCCTGTAATCCTGGCACTTTGGGAGACTGAGGTGGGCAGATCACATAAGGCCAGGAGTTCAAGACCCATCTGGCCAACATGGCAAAACACTGTATCTAAAATGCAAACTTCAGCCGAGTATAGCGGCACAAGAATTGCTTGAACCCAGGAGGTGGAGGCTGCAGTGAGCCGAGATTGTGTCACTGCACTCCCCAGCCTGAGTCACAGCGTGAGACTGCCTCAAAAAAATAAAAGTTCATTTGGCTCACAGTTCTCCTGGAGGCTGGAAAGTCCTCCAGGTCAAGGACCAAGAAGCCACACCTGGTGAGGGTCCTTCTTGTTGTGTCATAACGTAGCCGAAGGCATCACATTGCAAGAAAGAGAGCAGGAGAGGGCCAAACTGGCTTTTATAAGCAACTCGCATCCACAATAAAGACATGAGTCCATCCGTGAGCACTCGCGTCGCCTCTTGAAGGTCCCATGTCTCAACACTCTCTTACTGGGGCTTCAGTTTCTAACACATGAACTCTGGGGGACACTTAGAAACAGAGCAGTAGTTATCAGTGCAGAGCGCACACTGTTTCATCAGATTTCTGCCTCGGTATTTCCTGGTTTTGATACTATTGCAAATGGCAGTTTTAAAATTCCCTTTTTAATCATTCATTGCAGCCATAAAGAAACACAGTTGTTTCTTGAATACTAATCTTATATCCTGAAACCTTATTACACTTACTTCCACTAGTATTTTTGTAAATATACAATTTTGCTACAAAAATTCAATCATGTTGTCGGTGAATAAAATCAAGTTTACTTCTTTCCAATCTGGATTCCTTTTATTCGTTTTCTTAAAAAAAATTTTTTTTTGCCTTACTACATTAGCTAGACCCTTCAGTACATTGTTGAATAAAAGTGGATGAAGAGAAATTTTATTTTTCCTGATCTAAGAGGAAAAACTGTCATTCTTTTTACCCTTAAGTTTAATGCCAATGGTAGGTTTTTAAAAGATGTCCTTTATGAGGCTAAAGGGCATTCTCTTCTATTCCAAGTTTGCTGAACACTTCTATCAGCAATGGATACTGGGTTCCGTCAAATGCCTTTTCTCCATGTATTGAGACAAACCCATGGCTCATCCTTTCTATTGTGTTAATACAGTAAATAACATCCATCGATTTTCAAACTTAAACCAACGAAATCCACTTGGTCATGATGTATTACCCTTTTTATACACTGCTGGATTCCAACTGCTAAAATCTTGCTAAGAATTTAACATTGGCCAGGCACAGTGGCTCATGCCTATAATCCTAGCACTTTGGGAGGCTGAGGCAGAGGGATCACTTGAGCTAAGGAGTTCAAGACCAGCTTGGCCAACATGGTGAAGTCTCGTCTCTACTAAAAATACAATAATTAGCCGGGCGTGGTGATGCATGCCTATAATCCCACCTACTAGGGAGGCTGAGGCAGGAGAATCACTTGAACCTGGGAGGTGGCAGTTGCAGTGAGCCAAGATCGCACCACTGTACTCCAGCCTGGGCAACAAAGCAAGACTCCTTCTCCAAAAAAAAAAAGAGAAAAGAAAAAAAAGTTGGTACATATTTGTTCATACCATCTTTTTAATATCTGTAAAATCTGTAGGGGTGCCACCACCTCTCTCATTCTCAATATTGGTAATGTGTCTCTCCTCCCCATCCACTGCCCCCTGTCAGTCTGGCTATAGGTTTATCCATTTTATTGACATTCTAAATGAATCTACTTTTGGTTGCAGTGATTTTCTCTGCTGCTTTTTCCCCCTATTTCATTTATTCCCATTTTGCTTTTTATTATTTCCTTTCTTCTACTTACTTTGGATTTCATCTGCTCTTCCCTTCTAGTTTATTAAGATGGCTTAGCTAAAGTCATTGATTTAAAATCTTTTCTTCTAATATGGTGTTTAATACTATAAGTTTTCCACTAAGTACTGCTTTAGCAGTATCCTACAAATATTGATGTTTTGAATTTTCATTCGGCTTAATATATTTTCTAAATATCTTTTTATTTGTGAAGTGCTTTCTTTACTTTCCAAATATTTCCAGAGACCTTCTTGTGACTGATTTCTAATTGAATTATATTATGATCACAAGAACACACTTTATATAATTTAAATCCTTTATTTATTTTATTTTTTTTTGAGACAGAGTCTTGCTTTGTTGCCCAGGCTGGAGTGCAGTGGCACAATCTTGGTTCACTGCAACCTCCGCCTCCTGGGTTCAAGCAATTCTATGCCTCAGCCTCCCAAGTAGCTGGGATTACAGGTGCCCACGACCACGCCTGGCTAATTTTTGTATTTTTAGTAGAGACAGGGTTTCACCATGTTGGTCAGGTTGGTCTTGATCTCCTGACCTCATGATCCACCCACTTCGGCCTCGCAAAGTGCTGGGATTACAGGCATGAGCCACTGCGCCCAGCCTATTATTTTGAGAGGGAGTCTCGCTCTGTCGCCCAGGCTGGTGTGCAGTGGCGCAACCTCAGCTCACTGCAGCCTCTGCCTCCCAGGTTCAAACGATTCTCCTGCCTCAGTCTCCCAAGTAGCTGGGATTATATGCGCCTGCCACCACGCCCAGCTAATTTTTGTATAATTAGTAAAGACGGTTTCACCATGTTGGCCAGGCCGGTCTCGAACTCCTGACCTCAAGTGATCTGCCCGCCTCAGCCTCACAAAGTGCTGAGATTGCAGGTATGAGCCACCGTGCCTGGCCAACATTTTTGAGAATTTTTAAAAGTAGACCTCATGTGTCTTTAAAGAGAATGTATATTCTACTGTTATTGTGTGGAGTGTTCTATAAACGTCTATTAGGTCAAGTTGGCTGATAGTTACGTTCAAATTTTTTATATCCTTAGCGATTTTATGTCTACTTTTTCTACCAATTACTGAGAGAAGTTTTGGAATCTCCGATTATAATTGAATTTGTCTGTTTCTTCTTGAAATCCTCTCAGTTTTTGCTTTGTGAATTTTGAAGCTGTTATTAGGTACATAAATATTTAGTTCTATTATATCATCTTAATGAACTGGTCCTATTATCACGAAATAACAACCTTCCTTATTATCACTGATAGTATTTTTTAGCTCTAAACTCTAGTTTGTCTGCTGTTTATACAGCCAGTCCAGGTTTCTTTTAATTGTTAACACACCTTTTTGTATCCTTTCATTTTGGCCTATTTTGTGGCTTTATGTTTTAAAGTAGATTTCTTGTAGGTAGGTCTGTTTTTATCAATCTTTTCTGCCTTCTTCTGGACTAAGTATTTTGAGATTCCCTTTTATCTACTCAGTTGTTTCTTAAGCTAGAACTCTTCATATACTATCATGTTCACCTGTTGAAATTGTACACTTCAATGGGTTTTAGTATATTTAGAGTTGTGCAATCATAATCACAATCTAACTTTAGAACATTTTTATCATACCCAGAAGAAACCTTGCACCTAATGGCAATGACTCCCCATTTCAGCCCTTGCCCCACCCCAAACCTCAGGCAACCACCAATCTACTTTGTCTCCATAGCTTTTGCCTGTTCTGCTCATTAATATAAATGGGACCAAACAATATGCAGTCTTTTGCGAATGACTTTTGTTACTTAATGTTTTTGGGATTCATCCATGTTACAAGGTGTATCAGTGCTTTGTTTTCTTAAAAACTCAAAACAATTATCTTTCAAAGAAATTTAGATAAGAAAGAACGCATACCACAAGGGTCCCCAGCCCCCAGGCCACAAACTGGTACCAGAGTCCGAGGCTTGTTAGGAACCGGCTGCACGGCAGGAACTGAGTGGCAGGTGAGTGAGCATCACCGCCCGAGCTCCGCCTCCTGTCAGATCAGCAGCCGCGTTGGACCGCATAGCGTGAGCCCTACTGTGGACTGCACACGCGAGGGATCCAGGTTGTGCGCTTCTTATGAGAATCTAATGTCTGATGACCTCAGATGGAACAGTTTCATCTCGAAACCATTCCCCCGCACCACTGGGTCTGTGGAAAAACTACCTTCCGCGAAACCAATCCCGGGTGCCAAAAAGGTCCAGAACCACGGAGGTGCCACATCCAGTGCTTTTCATTCTTTCCTGTGAGTCCACATTTCCATCTGACATCACCTTCCTTCTGCCTGAAGGGCTTAGTTTAACATTTTTTGTAGTCTGTCTGCTGACGATACACTCGTTCAGCTTTTACGCATTTAAAATTCTGTGTCCTCCTTTGTTTTGGAAAGACACTTTCAATAGTATAGAATTCTAGGCTGATAGATTTTTTTCCCTTTAAATACTTTAAAGATGTTGTCCCTTGTCTTCTGGCTTGCACTGTTACTTAAATAAAGTCTGGGATCACTCTATCTTCGTCCTATATATATAATGAGTCTTTCATTTTTTTTCTGGTAGCTTTTAAAATTTTCTCTATCACTGTGTTTTTGTTGTTGTTGTTGTTTTTGGTTTGAAACAGGGTCTCGCTCTGACACCCAGGCCGGAGTGCAGTGGTGCGATCTCAGCTCACTGCGGCCTCAACCTCTGGGCTCAAGCAATCCTCCTGCCTCAGCCTACCAAGTCCTGGGAGTACAGGTGCACACCACCCTGCCCAGATAATTTTTCTTTTTTTCTTTTTTTTTTTTTGTAGAGATGGGATTTTGCCATGTTGCCCAGGCTGGTCTTGAACTCCTGGGCTCAAGTGATCCTCCCACACTGGCCTCCCAAAATCCTAGGATTGGAGGCATGAGCCACTGTGCCCAGCCCTAACACTGGTTTTAAACAATTTGATTACAGTAAGCCTTGGTGTAGTTTTCATGTTTCCTATGCTCAAATGTTGTTAAATTTCTTGAATCTGTGGGTTTACAGTTTTCATTAAATTTGGAAAATTTTAAGCCATTTTTCAAAGAAGTATGAGGATATTTAGTCTGGTTTTTATTGGATATGTTTGCTTAGAGAGTCTCTGTAATTTACCTGTTGATTTTCTTTCTTTTCCTCACCCCCGAGCCTAGGTTGCTGCCTCCTTTCCAGCACTAAATGGCACCATAAGCCCAGGTTTGCCTGGGTTCTAGCAGAGTGCAGCCCATCCTAAATGGGAGAGAGGAGTCCCCAAGGGGATATTCTGGTAGCAGTACAGGAAGGGTGGCTCAGGGTTCCTGCCAAGGGTCCTGTGGAATAAACCTCCTACAACATGGTGTTGCTGAACAGCTGCTCTATTTGGCATCCCCTTTGGCTGAGTTATACAGCAGGGTTTCCAAGGCTGGGAACAGTAATCCCGCCTCCCTCCTCTGCCTCTGGCTGTCCTCAGGGTAGCTCTCCCTATGCCACCTGTGGGCTAAGGCAGGGACAGGCCTCCTGCCAGGGAACCCAAGATGGTGGAGAAGGTGGCTGTCTTCTTCAATCTCACTTTTTCCTGTGTAGACACTGTGAATTGGGGGAGATTTTCCCACACTTGGCGCCAGGCGGACAGGGGGAACGGGTGTTGCAGATACGGAAGTCCGATTCTTACAGCATGCCTGGAGTTCTTTCATTTCTCTGTGCCCCTGGGAACTGTCTCCTTCTCATATCTGAGTTCTTGGATGTTGCTGGTGATCATCTTAGTGCTGTATGTTCTTGGTTTTCTGTGGTGGCAGGGCAGAGTGAGTGAAGCCAGTGTGCTTCTACACCACCATTTTAGAGCTAGAAGTCACTATGTCCTCCACTTAATTGTCATTAGTCAGATCTTTTAACTGTTATCTTTTCTCTCATATTTTCCATCTTTGTATTTCTGTTTAATTCTTTGAGAGAATTTTCTTTTCTTTTTTTATTTGAGACAGAGTCTTGCACTGTTGCCCAGGCTGGAGTGCAATGGCGCAATCTTGGCTCACTGCAACCTCCGCCTCCCAGGTTCAAGTGATTCTCCTGCCTCAGCCTCCTGAGTAGCTGGGATTACAGGTGTACGCCACCGAGCCCAGCTAATTTTTGTATTTTTAGTAGAGATGGGATTTCACCATGTTGACCAGGCTGGTTTCGAACTTCTGATCTCAAGTGATCCACCCACCTTGGCTTCCCAAAGTGCTGGGATTACAGGTGTGAGCCACCGCTCCAGCAGGGAGAATTTTCTTGATTATCTTCCACTCTTCTTTCTATTGCTATCTTTTGTTTGTTTTGGTAATTTTAAATGTTGATATTCCAAGAACTGTTTTCCATTGTTCTCTGATCATTCTTTCTCTGCGAACTCTTTTCTTGTTTCATGGATTCCTCTATCTCCTCTCTTTGACGATTATACAGTATGTGTGTATGCACAGGCTGCAGTTTGGGGTTTTTTTTCTCCTTACACTGTCTATTTCTTTTAAGTTCCTGTTTTTATCCCTATTGTTTTGGACTCTCCCTCTCATTTATAAAGGGTTTTTCATAAATGTCGGGTGATCCTGTACTGTCTACTCATATAGAAAGTATTAAAAAGCTAACTGGGAGTTAAGCCAACCTTAACACTAAAGATAAGGACAGCATGCATGCAAGGTACCTAAAGTATTTTTTTCCCCAGGCCATTGTTTATCCAGAGAAAAATCTTCCAATCTCCTGTCTGAGGCTGTGAGTCAGGCTGCAGGTATTCTGAAAGCAGGATGGGGAAAGGAGTTGAAAATGCTGACTTGCATGAAGTCACCTGCTTTATTCTGGTGCTTCAACTTTTCCTGACTCCCCTGATAAGAACAGAGGCTTCTGTGGTTTAAATTCTCTGGAAATAAATGTAAATCCCAGTTTATTCTTTTTTCCTTCCGGAGGATGGGGATAACACTTACATGGATGTGTGGGGTGTAAAGGAGGAGTCCTGGGGGGCCTTTGACACTTTCGATGTTGATTTTCAACTAATCCCCCTTCTCCTCAGCATGTGTAGTGCATCCTACCCCCACTCCGACACAGTGTCGTGTGCCTCTAAATCTTGAGCTTCCAGAATTTCTACAAGGGAAACTTGTTTCCCTTCTCACAGATTCCCCTCTGCAAACGCTTAGGTTATGTGTTTCTCTGTCCTGCTGAGTCAGGTGCCAATTTTCCACCACTTCTGCCTTCCAAATGTGTACTGAAGCCTCTTTCACAATACTGTCTCCTCTCTTTTTCTCTTTGACCGTGTGTGTGTGTGTGTATATATATATATTTTTTTCTGTCATTTTAGTTGGGTCTTGGGAGGGAGAGTAAATAGAATGCTTCTGTATGTGGTCAACATGCTGTGTTTAACCAGAAGATTCTTCTAATATCAAAGAGTTAAAAATCATGCTGTTTGATAAGTCTATACATATAAGACTGGAAATGTTACCGTATGCTCTTCTTTGTTTACAAAGATACTACTAGTTTAGTATTGGTAGGAAACACAATAATACTTATTTAACTAGTAATGAGGGATTTATGCTCAAATGTCCATCTCCTCTCTAGGCATGTAACTTAAAAGAGATCTGGTCACAGTGAGAGGGAAGGGAATGCTGGTTATGGACAGGAGCAGAGGGAAAGGAAACTGTTAAGCCTGGATTCTCTTTACTGAAACACAATTATTAATACGTCTATCATAAATTACCTCTCTCTCAATTTTCACTAGACTTTGAGTAATTTGAGGTCGTGCACTCAACATTTCTTTATGTCCCTTGGCTTCTAACGGAATACCCTACATACAGGAGAAATTATTTATTAGTTAACGATAAACTAGTAGTTTACAATTTAATGTACTATGATTATATGTGTTCTTTCTTTTAAAAAAATCTGCTCAGCATCCTACTTTTGGAAACTTCCCTCACCTTTCCTCTATGCAGATAGTTGGGAAAGATGCCATTTTCTTACACGACTATGGTCACAGATGACTGGTCCGAGGTGGGCACCTAACTCAAGCCAGGTCAGCACAGCTTCCCACACACCCTCCAGCAACTGGTGCAGGGGCAGCCACCTGAGCAGCTAAGCCAGACTCGGCTCCCTGAGAATCAGTCTATCACTAGTGTCTGAAGTTGTAAGAAACTGAGCCCAGGAATTCTATTTCTTTTTTTTTTTTTTTGACGGAGTCTCGCTCTGTCGCCCAGGTTGGAGTGCGGTGGCGCGATCACAGCTCCACTGCAAGCTCCGCCTCCTGGGTTCCCGCCATTCTCCTGCCTCAGCCTCCCGAGTAGCTGGGACTACAGGGGCCCGCCACCACGCCTGGCTAACTTTTTGTATTTTTAGTAGAGACGGGGTTTCACCTTGTTAGCCAGGATGGTCTTGATCTCCTGACCTCGTGATCCACCTGCCTCGGCCTCCCAAAGTGCTGGGATTACAGGCGTGAGCCACCACGCCCGGCCCAGGAATTATATTTCTTAACACATAAAGAAAAAACATTCTGAAATAAGAAATATAAAATAAGAAAAAAATATAAAAAGAAGGGTGAGAGATAACATATCTAGCAAGAGTATTCCTGGTTCCTGTTGTGTCTAAGGCCTAGTCATATTCTTCAACTTGGAAACGTTAAGAGTTTAGAGAAATATATTAAAGTTTCATATATGATAGGAGTATAGAGTAAAAAGTTAAAGGAAAAACACAAAAACGATTAAGCAGAACTTGAGATAGAGCCACATTAGATCATTCAAAATAAACATAAAATCCTAAAAATCTGTTCAATGCCATTTGTTTTTACATAACACACATACAGGTACTCTCTGTATTTTAATAGTCTCAATGGGAAAAGGAAAGGATATTAGAAACAGTGTCTAAAACAAAAAGATACTAAAGCATGTCTGGAATTGAACAATGTGCTGGAAAGATATTGCTATACCAACAGAATGTCTTTAATACTCTTATATAACGACTCTAGAAGCCCAGAAATAGAGGGCCAATCACAATAAATTTATGTAGATGTGGGGGTTCAGTCAGGATGGCAGAAGAAATTATAGGAATAGAAAAAAGCAAACCTGCTTGGAAGGCCGGGGAGTTTTGCATAGCTTCAAAGTTTGGCTGAAGGTAGCCAGATTCTCTTTTCAGGAGCCAGAGAGCTTAAGGTACAGATACAAAGGAATATAAAGTAGTTTATCTAAAGAGCTTGTTTACTCATGTGGTCCTAAGACTAACCTTTGATCATTGGTGGGCAAGATGGCCCTCTCCAGGGTGGGGGCGACCAGGTGAATTACCCACAGGTGTGTTGACTCAAGCCTTTGTCAATTAATCTATACTAAATAAATGCAAGCTTCCTTGGCTAGTTGAGGCCGATGGTTGCAACGCTTTACAGCACTCTCCTGGGAGTCTGTAAGTGGCCCGGACTCTCAGCTGGACTGACAAGCATAACATCTGTGTCAGTGTAAGTTATTCATCCGTCATTGGGTCAGGGTCTGCGGGACGGACCCCTACATGTTACACCTTAGCTTTGGAGAAATCTGAAATCTGTTCATGTTTCATAAAATGAAAGGAGGTCAACTTCCCACTTCTGCTTATCAAACACAACCATCTACGGGAGGTTCACCAGGCAACCAGATCACTTGATGGGAAGTAATAGACCAGGGCAAAAAACTTATTTTAATAAAATAAACAATTTAACTAGTGTCCTAGGAGAAAAAAAGATTCTTAGAATCATTTTCCAACTTCATTAGACAACAAAACAGCAGCAGCAGGCAGGCAGCAACCTTCAGCCAAGAGGCAGAGACCCTGAGTCACATGTTGACAAAAGGTACTGAAAAGAATCCTAAGTAGGCTACTGTCACATTCTCTAGGGCACTACCTTTTAGACTGCTTTCAAGCTACATCTAAGGCTAAACAAACAAATAAAAGAAACCCTTTATCTGTTTAAAAGGAAGACTCTTCTGTTTCTAGTCTAACCATAAGTAATTCCTCCTTTGTTCTTTTGATGTGTAATAGCTTCAAATTCCATGACACAGCAGAGAATTCTCTAGGAAAGGTGTCCCCAGCCCCAGGGCCGTGGACCAGTACAGGTCCATGGCCGGTTAGGAACTGGGTGGCACAGCAGGAGGTGAGCAGTGGGGAGTGAGCACCACCGCCTGAGCGCCACCTCCTGTCAGATCAGTGGCAGCATTAGATCCCCATAGGAGCGCAAACCCTATTGTGAACTGCGCATGAGAGGGATCTAGGCTGCACACTCCTTATGAGAATCTAACTAATGTCTGATGATCTGAGGTGGAAGAGTTTCATACCGAAACCACCCCCCCGTCAGCCCCACAGAAAAATTGTTTTCCGGCCAGGCACGGTGGCTCACGCCTGTAATCCCGGCACTTTGGGAGGCTGAGGTGAGCAGATCACCTGAGGTCAGGAGTTCGAGACCAGCCTGGTCAACATGGTGAAACCCTGTCTCTACTAAAAATACAAAAAAATTAGCTGGGCGTGGTGGCGTGCACCTCTAGTCCCAGCTACTCGGGAGGCTGAGGCAGGGGAATTGCTTGTACCCAGGAGGCGGAGGTTGCAGTGAGCTGAGACCACGCCATTGCATTCCAGCCTGGGCAACAAGATGAAACAAAAAAGAAAAAAGAAAAATTGTTTTCCATGAAACCATTACCCCAGTGTCAAAAAGGTTGGGGACCACTCCTCTAGGAAATAGGCAGAGAAGTATGGGTTACTATTATTAATCTCAGAATTCATTTTTTTAATCAGAAAGGTTGTTTACAGATCTAAGTCATAACCAACCAGAAGTGAAGGTGCTTATAGGTTGAATAGCTAGATGTGAAAATTGCTTTAGTTAATAAAGACAATACCATCCAACTCTAGCTGTATGAATAAAGCTTATTTTAAAAAGTCAAATGGCTCACTGACATTTTCATTATTTAAACTAGTAGACTAGTTAGGCCATTTCTCACTTGGGCTACAGCAAAAGCCTCCTAACTAGTTTCCAACTTCACTCTCACACTTCGAACAAAACCTTTTTTCTATATACCTACCATTCTCTCCTAACTAAAACAGAGAGATGGCCAGGTCTTTCCCCTGATTAAAAATCTGTAATGGTTCCCCAGGAAACAGGATAAAATGTGAGCTCTGTAGCATAGAATACAAGGCCCTTTATGACCTGGTCACTGCCTACCTCTTCAGCCTCTTCTGCTGTCTGTAGTGCCTACATACACCCTGCTGTAATTCTCTGTCCTTCCCTCTCTGCTTTCCAGTAACACCGGGCGGCACTCAGCTCCATGGATGTGCTCTGATCCCTCCTGTAGGTGGGCCACTGAAACAGGCTCTTCCCGGGCATGGAACACACTTTGTAACTATCGTTTCCCTTACCCATCCTGCAGTCTTCAGCTCTATTATGACCTCCTTAGGAAGCCTTCCCAGACACTGCAGATTGGACACATGTTGTGCACTGCCTCTGTACCACTTTTCATGGCTTGTAATTCTATACCATGGTTTGAGATTGCTGTCGTGGGAGCAGGGACACTATCTGCTTTATCACTCATCTCTGATTATTCACATAGTACACACATTAGCAAGCATGGAAAAAAGATCTGTTCTGTCAAGTTGCCTTAAAACGGCACGATCCAAAAGGATAATTTTCGAGTTTTTTGGTGATACCAATTAAAACCAGTAATTAATAAGTGAAAACATCCTAGAGTCTTTATTTTCTTTTTATAAAAATATTAGCTGTTTTTTTAGTAAGGAAAGCAGTAAGGGATGTAAATTTTTTAGTGGAATAAAATGAATTATCTCTAGATCAGGCCTTACATTAGAGATGGCAAAAGTCTTAAGGTCATTATGATTTTTAAAAAATGGAAATACAATTGTTTGCCTTTTAGACTCTTCTGTTTCAAGATGATGTACTGAGCACATACTGAAGTTCTCTCCCTTCTACACCAAAACCGAGTGTTTCACAGAATAAAATCCACGAGGAATGCTCCAGAATGAAAAGCAATTAGCATAAGACTAGCGAGAGAAGCAGCAGTTAGGATGTCAGTGGGAAAATGCTTCTGCAAACTGCTGCAGGTGGCTGAAACTAGAAGCAAGGTGGGTGGAAATGAGCGGACCCAGAGGCAACCACTAGGGTGATGAACGGGATAATCCAGTGAGAGCAACAGAGCAGGTTATTTCTATGTTTACAAAAGCACGGATGTGTAAACACACACAAGGTTCTCCCTCATTCCTAATGCCGAAAGCTGGGCCCCAGTGACTGGGCTGTGTTTCAGCTTCCAGGTAGGAGCAATAAGTGTAAGAGGAAAGGGAGGTAGAGCTCCAGGAAACAGGAGGAATCAAGAAGCATCCTACCCTCCAAACATTCCACACATCTCTGTCTCTCTGAGACTGAAAACGACATGCAACTAAACTTCCCTGTAAACAGGCTACACAAAGGCTCTGCAGATTCCCCACCCTCAGCTACAAAGGTGGATGCAATTCTCCCCTATTTGCCCTACAAAGTCTATACAATTCTTTTTTTTTTTTTTTTTCTGAGACGGAGTCTCGCTCTGTCGCCCAGGCTGGAGTGCAGTGGCGCAATCAAGGCTCACTGCAAGCTCTGCCTCCCGGGTCCACACCATTCTCCTGCCTCAGCCTCCAGAGTAGCTGGGACTACAGGCACCTGCCACCATGCCTGGCTAATTTTTGTATTTTTAGTAGAGATGGCGTTTCACCTTGTTAGCCAGGATGGTCTCGCTCTCCTGACCTCGTGATCTGCCGGCCTCGGCCTCCCAAAGTGCTGAGATTACAGGCATAAGCCACGGTGCCCGGCCCAAAGTCTATACAATTCTAATCAAAGTAGCCACAGGTTTTTTTTTCTGTTAAAGTACATGATAAACAGATTCTAAAATTTATAGAAAGATGCAAAAAGCCAAAGCAATTAACAGGATTCTGAAGAAGAATCTGGTTAAGAGATTTGTTCCATCAGGCATTAACAATCAATATAAGAGCCAGGTGTGGTGGCTCGCGCCTGTAATCCCAGCACTTTGGGAGGCCAAGGCTGGCAGATCGTTTGAGCTCAGGAGTTTGAGACCAGCCTGGGCAACATATGAGAGCCTGTCTCTACAAAAAATACAAAAATTAGTTGGGCATGGTGTTGTGCACCTGTAGTCCCAACTACTTGGAAGGCTGAGGCAGGAGGATCACTTGAATCTGGGAGGTGGAGGTTGCAATGATCCAAGACATATCACTGCACTCCAGCCTGGGTCACAGAGTGAGACCCTGCCTCAAAGAAAAAAAAAAAAAGATTGTAAGATATAGTAATCAAGACAGGGTGCTACTATTAGCTCAGGTACAGACAAATAACCTAATGGAATAAAGCAGAGAACACAGAAACAGACTCTCACATGGAAACCTGACAAATAATGGTGGTCTAGGTCAGTGGGGAAATAGAAGACTCAATAAATGGGTCTGGGATACTATCCAAGTTTAAAGAAAAAAGTGAAAGTGAATCTTTTCACAAATATACAAAAATAAAATCCAGCTAGCTCAAAGATTTAAAGTGTAAAAGGCAAGCTATAGAAAAAATACAGGAAAATGTCTTTATGACCTCAAGTAAGACAAAAATTTCTTAAAAAACAAAAAGCTCGAACCACAAAAAAGAGAAATTGAAGACAGGCACGGTGGCTCACGCCTGTAATCTCAGCACTTTGGGAGGCTGAGGCAGGTGGATCACAAGGTCAGAAGTTCAAGACCAGCCTGGCCAACATGATGAAACCCTGTCTCTACTAAAAATACAAAAATTAGCCGGGCGCGGTGGCAGGCGCCTGTAATCCCAGCTACTCGGGAGGCTGAGGCAGGAGAATTGATTGAACCCGGGGGGCGGAGGTTGCAGAGAGCTGAGATTGAGCCACTAGACTCCAGCCTGGGTGACAGAATGAGACTCCATCTCAAAAAAAAAAAAAAGAGAAATTGATCAAATCCACCATATCAAATTAATAACTTCTATTCATTAAAATATACTACTGAAAGGGTGAGAAGGCAAATCACATCCTGGAATACTATCTTTAACATCATATAACTGGCAAAGGATTAGTGTATAGACTACAAGGAATGTTTATTAATAGAAAACGAAAAAGCTAACCACCAAGTAGAAAAATGGATTAAAGACCTTGATATGGTTTGGCTGTGTCCCCACCCAAATCTCATCTTGAATTCTCATGTGTTGTGGGAGAGACCCAGTAGGAGGTAACTGAATCATGGGCAGGTCTTCACAAGATCTCCTGGTTTTAAAAGGGGGAGTTTCCCTGCACAAGCTCTCTCTCGTTGCCTGCTGTCATCCACGTAGGACGCGACTTGCTCCTCCTTGCCTTCCGCCATAATTGTGAGGCCTCCCCAGCCATGTGAAACTGTAAGTCCAATAAACCCTTTTTCTTGTATAAATTACCCAGTCTCAGGTATGTCTTTATCAGCAGTGTGAAAACAGACTAATATAGATAGTGAACAGATATTTCTTTCTCTTGAACAGATATTTCACAGAAAGCACACAAGAATGGTCAATTAACCCGAAAAGATGCTCAGTTTTTTGAGTAATCAGGGAAAGGCCAATTTAAAACACAATGAGCTAGTATTTCACCCCTCCCAGAGTTGCTGAGGGTGCTCAGCAATGGGAACGCTCATCTTCTGTGGGTGAGAATGTACACTAAAAACTTTTAGAAAACAATCTGACAAACCTAGTCAAGTCACACACGGGAACAGCCTGTAACCCAGCAATTCTAATCCTAAATATACATCTCTGAATGACCTTTAAATCTTTGGTCAGGACCCACACCAAGAAATACATTTTATATCCTGACTCAGTATACACATAACTAAAACAAACTGTTTCATAAGACAACGTTTTCACTGTGTGCACAACACTCTGATTATATTATTCTAGCGCATTTAGTGTCGTCCACTATACAGAGTTCATAACCCACCAATGCATTGGTTTTTAATATGAGCTGCACATCATTATCATCTGGGGTATTTAAAAAATTAAAAACAGTGCTCGCTTCAGCAGCACATATACTAAAATACGAACGATACAGAGAAGATTAGCATGGCCCCTGCGCAAGGATGACACGCAAATTCGTGAAGCGTTCCATATTTTTCACTGGCCATCAGAGAAATGCAAATCAAAACCACAATGAGATACCATCTCACACCAGTTAGAATGGCAATCATTAAAAAGTCAGGAAACAACAGGTGCTGGAGAGGATGTGGAGAAATAGGAACACTTTTACATTGTTGGTGGGACTGTAAACTAGTTCAACCATTGTGGAAGTCAGTGTGGCGATTCCTCAGGGATCTAGAACTAGCAATACCATTTGACCCAGCCATCCCATTACTGGGTATATACCCAAATGACTATAAATCATGCTGCTATAAAGACACATGCACACGTATGTTTATTGCGGCATTATTCACAATAGCAAAGACTTGGAACCAACCTAAATGTCCAACAATGATAGACTGGATTAAGAAAATGTGGCACATATACACCATGGAATACTATGCAGCCATAAAAAATGATGAGTTCATGTCCTTTGTAGGGACATGGATGAAATTGGAAATCATCATTCTCAGTAAACTATCGCAAGAACAAAAAACCAAACACTGCATATTCTCACTCATAGGTGGGAATTGAACAATGAGATCACATGGACACAGGAAGGGGAATATCACACTCTGGGGACTGTGGTGGGGTGGGGGGAGGGGGGAGGGATAGCATTGGGAGATATACCTAATGCTAGATGACGAGTTAGTGGGTGCAGCGCACCAGCATGGCACATGTATACATATGTAACTAACCTGCACAATGTGCACATGTACCCTAAAACTTAAAGTATAATTAAAAAAAAAAAAAAGAAAAAAAAAATTAAAAACAAAACCAAAAACAATGCCAGGGTAAGCCCCTAAAGATGCTGATTGCTGATTCAACTGGAATGAAATGGAGTTTGAACACAGATTTATTAAGCTTCCCAGGTGATTCTAATTAGCAATTCAAGAACTAAACTAACAGATCACCTGAAGTTTGAGAAGCTTTGCCCTACACCCAGTAAGATGTACATTCAACATTATCCATAGCAACACTATTCATGAAAACAACCCAAATGTCTACAGATAGGAGACTGGCCAAATAAACTGCAGTATATTTACAGTGTAGCAATACACAGCAGTGAAAGTGAACAAACTACACCACATACATCAACAAGTCTCAAAAGCATAAAGCTGAGTGAAAAGTATGTGGAAAAAATGCAGACAGCATAATTCCATTCATAAAAGGTTCCCAAACAGGCATGCCTAAACCATACATATTTGAGGGTGACTAGATATGTTATAAAATTACAATAAAAATGCAGAATGGTGGATATTGGGGACGAAGAGAAGGTTAGGATGGGGTATAGCAGATGGGGACTTCAGAGGTACTGATAAAATTCTAGGCTGGGTGGTAGGTACAAGGATGTTTTATATACACATATATATACGTACACTTTTTTTTTTTTTTTTTGAGAGAGTCTCACCCTGTTCCCCAGGCTGGAGTGCGGTGCCACGATCTTGGCTCACTGTAACCTCCACCTCCCGTATTCAAGTGATTCTCCTGCCTCAGCCTCCCAAGTAGCTGGGATTACAGGCACGAGCCACTGTGTCTGGCCCAGTGATTCTTAATTGGAGTAATTTTGCCCCCAGGGGATAGGTCCCTGCAACAACAAATTATTTGGCTCCAAGATGTCAATAGTGTTGAGGTTGAGAAACCCTGAACTAGACATATATTTTGCTGAGGACACATCAGTCTGTGAGTACTGAGGCTGCCTCCGACACTTCTGAGGGCATTATAGAACACCTGGTAAAAGACAGTATTTACTACTCAAGAATCACAAAAACTCTTAATTCCAAAACACAGTTGGCTCCAGGGATTTCAGACAGGGGACTGTGGGCCCTATCTCACCATTCTTATAATAGCAGGTCTCCCTCAAGTGTCACAAATCTCATTAAAATATGGCCAAGGTCTCAGAAAACAAAGGAGATGAATATAGAAATTCATTGGCCATAACAAGCAGGGTGAGAAACAAATTTACATTTTATTCTTTTAAAAATCACAATTTAAAATAAACTAGTCTTTTTAATAGTGCCTGTATATTAGCACCGATTGTTTTCATGATCTGTTTTAATGTTCTCACCATAAAAGTTATCAACATGGGTAACATACAATAATAAACCAATGCTGAGACTCTGAAAGCCAGAAGCGCTATTTACCTTTCTCTGTGCCTGAGAATATGGAGATGATTTTATGCCTGGGCTTTTTCTCTTCTGGAACAGAGGGCAAAGGTTTCAAACTGTGATTGGCTGACAAAGGGTCTTTGCCTCCAGTGCTAAAGATGGTGCTGCTCATTCGCACAGGAGGTGCTGGAGGCTTATCTTCCAGTTCTCCGTTATCAGACATGATTCAGAATTATGAAATGGCCTGGAATTGGAAAAAATACAATTAGTAACAAAGTAAAAAATAGCACGAACAAGCAAAAAACAGTAATAACTACCCCTGCCACAACTCCCAATTAGAAAATATTATCCATTTATAGTGACATTTGCAAAATCTGGAAAAATCAATGTGTAAAAGATGTAACTCTCTTGAGTTTACCCCCAACAAAGCTGGTAATGGTCAGCTGAAAAATGTTTGAAAAGTCAAATGGAAACATCATGGTACTACCAAAAGCTACTGGTCTAATCAATGGATTCTAAGAGACCTTCTCAATAGAAAGACAGACAACATGAAATCTTTTTTTTTTTTTTTAATTCCAAAGAGGAAAAATATGTTCTGACCAGCAAATTATAGGATATCTTGGGGAGGTGCACCTCTAGAGCAGAGACAGATGCTTGGCTATTAAGGGTATCAAACAGCACCCCTCCAATCTGATTTCACTCCAACCTTGTAGTTACAACTTAGCCTTCACAGTAACTTTCCTAAAAAATTCTTATTTATTTTCAAGATGGAGTCTCGCTCTGTCACCCAGGCTGGAGTGCAGTGGCGTGATCTCAGCTCACTGCAACCTCTACCTCCCAGGTTCAAGCAATCCTCCTGCCTCAGCCTCCTGAGTAGGTGGAATTACAGCCGCATGCCACCACTTTCGGCTAATTTTTTTGTATTTTTAGTAGAGACGGGGTTTCACCATGTTGGCCAGGCTGGTCTCGAACTCCTGAACTCAGGTGATCCGCCCACCTTGGCCTCCCACAGTGCTGGGATTATAGGTGTGAGCCACGGCATCCAGCCTAATCTTTGTATTTTTCGTAGAGATGAGGTTTCACTACGTTGCCCAGGCTGGTCTCGAATTCCTGATCTCAAATTATCCACCCGCCTTATCCACCCAAATTGCTGAGATTATAGGCGTGAGCCCCCACGCCTGGCCAAGGAATCTTGAAACAATGCACTGCTGATACAGTATTTGGTCTCTGAAAATTTGACATCCTAATTTACACACATTAGTCTTTTGAGTTTTGCAGATAATCACAAAGGAGCTTGACGAATCTGGATATACTGACAAAATTAAACACAGAGCATGGCTGAAAGGCTGAGTGTGGCCACATCCCTCAGGTTCTGTGACACCTGTAAATGCCCTGTCCAGGCAGTTGGGTAATCTGTCTTAGCTACATGGCTAATTCAGTGAAAACTTCAACCCTGCTACCCATACTTCTAGGTTTAAGTCTTTAAAAAAGTAGATGACACATACTTGAAATCAGCAGTAAAAGGGAGAGGATCCGTAACTTATACATATGAGTTCTGATACAAAACCATATGTTAGAAAACAACATATTTTCCCACTAAACATGGTTTTCATTGGTAACTGGATCTTAATTTGATTCTAAGATTATTTAATGCATTTAAGCAAACAAAACCTTGCATATATACAATGAAAAGAATGCTAACTGTTCAGAACTTAAAAACAAATTTTTTATTTCATTTGAATGCTTATACCTGAAGAAAAGTAGGTATAAGTTGAGAAGATTAGCTGGGCACGATGGCTCATGCCTGTAATCTCAGCACTTTGGGAGGCCGAGGCGGGTGGATCACGAGGTCAGGAGATCGAGACCATCCTGGCTAACATGGTGAAACCCCGTCTCTACTAAACACACAAAAAGTTAGCCAGGTGTGGTGGCAGGCGCCTGTAGTCCCAGCTACCTGGGAGGCTGAGGCAGGAGAATGGCGTGAACCCGGGAGGCAGAGCCTGCAGTGAGCCGAGATTGCGCCACTGCATGCCAGCCTGGCGACAAAGCAAGACTCTGTCTCAAAAAAATAAAATAAAATAAAATAAAAAAATTTGAGAAGCTTATACCAAATCTTACAGCTTTTATTTTCCTTGATGGGAGTGTGTCACTAGCACTATGGTATATTTTCGCTCTCAAAATGATTATTTTTTCATTCTACAAAAGAGAAAGAATAAAAAAAGGTAAAGGAGCAAAAACATTTCTGGGAGTGATATGGTTTGGCTGCATCCCCACCCAAATCTCATCTTGAATTCCCACATGTTATGGAAGGGACCTGGTGGGAGGTAAATGAATTATGAGGGCAAGTCTTTCCTGTGCTGTTCTCCTGATAGGGAGTACATCTCACGTGATCTGATGGTTTTAAAAAGAAGTGTTTCCCTGCACAAGCTCTCTCTTTGCCTGCCACCATCCACGTAAGACGTGACTTGCTCCTCCTCGCCTTCCGCCATGATTGTGAGGCTTCCCCAGCCACATGGAAATGTAAGTCCAATTAAACCTCTTTCTTCTGTAAATGGCCCGGTCTCAGGTTTGTCTTTATCAGCAGCATGAAAACAGACTAAGAGAGGGGGTAACTAGCTAGAGAAGGGCTGGGAAAAGGGAGTGAAAAAGATCTCTATCTTTGTGTGCAAAAGGCTGTCTGGTCTAAGGAAGAAATGAGGGCAGGATCTAAGGCAGTGCTGACAACATGCCCTAAAATGATTCTTCCTAACCAGCTCATGACATCATGCGGGATTTGTTTTGTTTTGGGGTAGGATGCAAGCAGCATGCAGCTGGCTATTCCTAAGTATGGGCTACTACCAGTGTGCATTACAAGAGGGGCCCTGTCTTGCTACAGACAGAAGAAAGACAAAGCTTAGTAACAACATTGCGGCTGGGCGCGGTGGCTCACGCCACACTTTAGGAGGCCAAGGTGGGCGGATTGCTTGGGGTCATGAGTTCGAGACCAACTTGGGCAACATGGTAAAACCCTGTCTCTACGAAAAATACAAAAATTAGTCAGGTGTGGTGGCGCACGCCTGTAGTCCCAGCTACTCGGGAGGCTGAGGCAGAGGAATCACTTGAGCCCGGGAGGCAGAGGTTGCAGAGCTGAGATCATGCCATTGTACTCCAGCGTGGGTAACAGAGTGAGACATCATCTCAAAAACAAAACAAAAAACAACAACAACAAAAACAGGGCACAATAATTAGTGTAAAGTGCTATAAATTCTTTCCTCAAGGCTCCCACATAGATGGAATGTGAGTAGAAACTGCCAATGCACCTTCAATAATAATAATAAATCAGCTGCATGTTATCCAGTTTTTTGGTTAACAGCATATGTTCCAGAATCAGACTGCTTTGCATGGAATCCTGTTTCCACCACCGACTTACACTTCACCACGTCTCATGACTCCTTGAAGGAATGGCTGACTCTAGGCATGGGAAAGGGAAAATGGAAGATGAGCCCAGAGCACGCTGTAGTGTCAGAAGGCAAGGGAGCACTTTAAAAGGATGAGGAAATGCCAAAGGGACACAGGAAAGATTTTCCATAGGCCAATGCTGGGATGATTTGAGCAAATTAGTATACTATTAGATTACGACCCAAAGTATCAAATAAGTATGTTATTCCATACTGACATAAATAAATGAATAAGTAAATAAATGGGAGAAAAGGAACAAATCTTTCTTACAGAAGAATTGCAAATAAAATAGGTAAATATGTCTCCCTCTAGGAGTTTCAGCTTAATCCTTGTCTCCTCTTGAGTGAAGGCAGGACTTAGTGACTCACTTCCAAAGAACAGTGTATGGCAAGGGAAAAATAACTTTGCAGTGAAAAAACCTGGCAAACATGCCTTATTAACCAAGTGACCACAGTTAACATCACCAGCGACAAGTCATGACAATATTACTTATCCCCTAATCTAATGTGATGGGACGCACACTTCACCTCTGTGGTATTCTTCCCCCAAACCCACAGCCCCAGCCTAATCACGAGAAAAACACCAGACAAACCCCAGTTGAGGGATATGCTACAAAACTCCTGACCACTACATTCCTCCAAACTGTCAAGGACACGAAAAACAAGACTGAGAAACTGTAACAGATCAGAGGAGACACAACCATAAACGCAACGTGACACCCTGGATTGGATCCTGGAACAGAAAAGGGGCACTGGTGAAACAACTAGTAGAATCCAAATAAATCCTAGAATTTGGTTAACAGTGAGGTACCAATGTTGGCTGCTTTGTTTTGACATACGTATCACGGTTATGTAAGATGTTAACATTAGAGGAAGCCGGGTGATAGGTATACAGGAAATCTACTATCTGTGCAATTCATCTGTAAATCTAAAATTATCCCCTAATAAAAACTCTATTAAAAAGGGAGTTAGTAAGTTCCTCAAAAATTAAATATAGAGCTACTATGCGACCCCGCAATTCCACTCCCAGGTATATAGCCAAGAGAACTGAAAAACATGTTCACGCAAAAACTTTGTATGAATGTTCACAGAAGCATTCATAACAGCCAAAAGATAGACACAACCCAAATATCCATCAACTGATGAACGGATACACAAAACGTGGTGTATCCATAAGATGGAATATTGTTTGGCCGCAAAAAGAAGTACCGATACACGCTGCAACATGGATGACCCTCGAACACTAAGTGAAAAAAGCCATAAAAGGCCACATATTGTAGGATTCCGTTTCATATGAAATGTCCGGAACAGGGGCATCCACAGAGACAGAGAGGAATTTAGTTCATAAACACGGCTGATTAGTGAGTGGTTGCTAAGGAGTGAGGGAAATGAGATGGGGCTCCTAATGGGTATCAAGTTTCTCTGGGGGACGCAAATGTTCCGGTATGAAGACAGTGGAGATGGCTGCACAGCCCTGTGAATACACTAAAACCACTCAATTGTACACTTTAAAATGGTGAATTTTTGGTTATGCAAATTATATCTCACTATCTACTCACAGAATAAAGATTAAATGAGCTAACAAAGATTAAAAGCTGCTGCAATTGTTATCATCATTACTATTTATAAGACTCTGTGCTAGACATTAGAGAAAATAAAAGACGACCTGAGTCCTCTGTAAGAGTTCATAACCTGGAGAAAGACCAACACGTACTTGTTTTAAGTTAGGTCAGGCATTCCCTTTATTGGTATCTGCTCTCAACACAGGCATATTAAAGCTACTCAGCTCCTTCAAAGTAGCCGTTCTCAAAACATTTTGGCCACAAGACCCTTTACACTTGTCAACATTAATGAAGAGTCCAAAGAGTTTTTGTTGATGAGGGTTATGTTTATATATACTTACTGTATGAGAAATTAAAACAAGTTTTTGGCTGGGCATGTTGGCTCGCGCCTGTAATCTCAGCACTTTGGGAGGCCAAGGTCGGGGGATTACTTGAGGTCAGGAGTTCGAGACCAGCCTGGCCAACATGCTGAAACCCCGTCTATACTAAAAATTTAAAAATTAGCTGGGCGTGGTGGCGCGTGTCTGTAGTCCCAGCTACTCGGGCGGCTGAGGCAGGAGAATAGCTTGAACCTGGGAGGCGGAAGTTGCAGTGAGCCAAGATCATGCCACTGCACTCCAGCCTGGGTGACAGAGTGAGAATCTGCCTCAAAAATACAAAACAAAACAAAAAAAACCAAGTTGTTTAAATAATTCATTTAAAAATAACAACAAACCCATTACATGTCATACATTTTTATGAAAAATGACTATTTTCCAAAACAAAATAAGTTGAGTGAGAAGACTGATATTCTTTGACATTTCTGCAAGTCTTTTTCATGTCTGGTGTGGTAGAAGACAGCCAGATGATCAGATCTGCTTCTGCATTCAATCTGTTGTGCTGAGTTGTTTTAGCTGAAATTTACGAAAAAAATCTTGTCTTACGCAGATACCCACCTGAAAACGGAGGAGCATTTTAACAGCTTTCACATAATTGTGGATTTTCTTCTTTGGTATTACACTAAACCTGACCTTCCTAAAAGGTTCATTGTGGAATCTGAAATCACAGCAATGAATCTTCTTGTACCCTATTACATTAAACCAATTGACTCTCTTGAATTTTGAATGAATCTGTTACCCATGCAGAAGTTTTACAATGTCATGAATTGGTTTTTGGAAAATATTGGTTCCCTGGGTTTTGAAGATACTCCCAATGTTGACACATCTCGTTATGCAGTAAAAATAAAACCACATTCATTAATATCACCATCTATGTCATCAGAGTAAGTCAAGCGCTGAGAAACTGCTAAAATCAACATAGTGGATACAAGTTTTCTAAAACTCTGATTTTTGATTGAAAGCCTAAATTGTGTCAGTAGCAACAAATTCTGTCACTATTTTTGAGGAAATGTCCGCAAAATACGAAGTCTGAACAACCGGAATTTGTGGGTCAGTTGTTCTTCCAAATAAAAAAAGGTGTTGCATGAAACAGAGGGCTAGTTTAGCTCTCTTGCAGAAGTGGTTATCTCCAAGACAACGGTTCATACTTTGGTACGCAGAAGTACCTTATGAGTACTTCCCATTTTGCTATATAGAATACTTGATCAATAACTTTATTGTTCCATTAAGTATATTATTACGTGAAACTGGCACTTTACTGCAAGCACTTGGCCATGGCCTTGGTATGGGTTAAAGTAACGAGCAATTTGACCCACTTCTGCTTTTGCCCCATCAATCCGTACGTCAACACAGTGTGAAAGCAAATAATGTGTTAAGAATATTCGGAAAAAGGTTTTGACATCAGACTCCCCCACGGTATTGCAGACCACACTTTGAGAACTGCTGCTTTAAAGCGTACTCCATCTTTACCCTTCACCTACATACCCCAAATGCTTTGATGTTTTACGGAGGTGGCAGAAGACTCATATTTATTTCATCTTATACTCGACAGAACACATTTTAACAGAACAAATAAGCAACAGCTAGATTTCCAAGCTAGGGTACAGAAACCTCTTCAATCCTTAACATGTTGAAAACCCAAATGCATGCAATGGTATTTACCATACTGCTTTTCATTACAGTATCAGAAAGGTCAGAAGGCTTTTTCACGGCTGAGCCAGAGAGACATTTTCATTCATGAGAAGCAATGCTAAATTCTAAGCAAATGACATTACACAGCAACTTTCAGAACACAGCCTTTCCTTACATTTTGGTTATCCTTCGGTGGCTCACGCCTGTAATCTCAGCACTTTGGGAAGCTGAGGCGGGCAGATCACAAGGTCAAGAGATCGAGACCATCCTGGCCAACATGGTGAAACCCCGTCTCTACTAAAAATACAAAAATTAGCCGGTTGTGGTGGTGGGCGCCTGTAGTCCCAGCTACTCGGGAGGCTGAGGCAGGAGAATTGCTTGAACCCGGGAGGCGGAGCTTGCAGTGAGCCGAGATCGTACCACTGCACTCCAGCCTGGGCCACAGAGTGAGATTCCGTCTCAAAAAAAATAAATAAATAAATATTTTTTCTACTGTTCAATGTTAGTATACTATGCAGTAACTTATGTTCTGTACATACTCAGTCTAATAGAACTAAAGAGGAACCACAGCGTTGTGTTTTTCGGAACTTTTTAGTGACTACACACTATCATGCTGAATGAGCTGTCTCAAGGAAATTCCAATTAACATGACGTACCCTTTAAGCAATACTTGCCTGAACAAAACCCTAATTTAATAGTAAACTTGAGTCAGAGATGTCCCTAATGAAATTATTCAAGATGACAACCATGCCGCCACAATTCTAATATACCACGAGTGACTAGATCTCAATAAATATAAGCATGGCCTTGGATACAATACTGATGCCTCTACCAGCTGCTTAGCTGGGGATTTACCACATCATCTCTGGATTTCTCTCAGTCTCTATGTTTTCAGTTGTTGTTGAGTGGAAGAAATTCTATTAGGTTGGTGCAAAAGTAGTTTCTATTACAAGTAATGACAAAAACTGCAATTACTTTTGCACCACCTAATAACTAGCTCCCTAGAGGGTTTCTCTGTGTTCAGTTTTTTTGTTGGGAGAAAGAAGTCAGAATTGGTTAAATATACCTTAATTATCATGCAGAAGTTGACTAAAGGTAACAAGTGCTATGACTCTCCCTGGCTACACATCGTCCTGACTAGCTGCCCATAACCTACAGACTGAGGACTAAACTCTGGCATTAGGGCCACTGAACTCTGAACTGCTGAGTCAATTTCATCTCACGTGACTGCACCATGTCAATCCTATGCCTCATATTCCTCAAATACACCAAAGACTTTCCTGGCCTAAATAATTTTTATGTATCTATTTCTGCATTCTTAGCTTTTCTTTTTCCTTTTATCTACCCAACCAAATCTTTCAAGGCTTAGTGAAAATGATTTCCTTCCTGAGGTCAGTCCTTGCCCAAAAAGATCCCTCACATCCTCTAAACTCGAGTTACACAGGAAAACAAATTCACACGGTATTAAGATTGTAAAGGATTAAGTCATCTAGTCCATCTGCCTTGTTTTATATGTGAAAAAAAACCAACTTACCCAAAAGTAAGTGGTTAGCCTAAAGGCACATAAATCTAATTACTAACAGAACTAAGACTAGAACTCAAGTTTCCTAACAACTCTGAATCTCAGGCTCTTTTTTCTTACTTATGCTAATATACTGGGCCATTCTTCGGCAATGAATTACAACTATAAACCCTTAGTTATTTTATCTGCTTTTCCTACCTAAGACCTCAAGCAATTCAAAGGCAGGTACTGTGCATGTATTAGGCAATGTTTACTGATTTATGGTACCATACTGTGTCCACAGATTTTTTTTGTTGTTGTTTTTTTTTGAGACGGAGTCTCGTTCTGTCCCCAGGCTGGAGTGCAGTGGCGTGATCTCGGCTCACTGTAACCTCTACCTCCTGGATTCTCCTGCCTCAGCCTCCCGAGTAGCTGGGATTACAGGAGTGCGCCACCACGCCCGGCTAATTGAATTTGTTGTTTTGTTTTGCTTTTTTTTGAGATTCTGTCGCCCAGGCTGGAGTGCAGTGGCGTGATCTTGGCTCACTGCAACCTCTGCCTCCTGGATTCAAGCAATTCTCCTGTCTCAGCCTCCCAAGTAGCTGGGAGGCGGATACCACCACGTCTGGCTAATTTTTGTATTTTTGAGTAGAGATGGGGTTTCACTATATTGGTCAGGCTGGTCTCAAACTCCTAACCTCAGGTGATCCACCCACCTCGGCCTCCCAAAGTGCTGGGATTACAAGCATGAGCCACTGTGCCCGGCCTGAACTTGTTTTCTTAATCAAACAGCACTAGACAACATCAACTACCCCATATTAACAAAAATATATTTAGAAAGATTTATACTTTTCCCCTCACAGCTGATTCATGACCTTCAGTTCTCTTTTCCATAAAACAGTATTTTTTGTGTGTGAATTGCTACTTCTGACAGTGTCAAATGCCTGAAAAGTACCAAATGAGACTGTGATAAGGTTCCTTATGTTCATCTTATATGTTAGCCAAAAACAATATTAGGTATAAAAATAATTCATGGTAAAATACTGATTTACCTTATGTTTTGCTTAACCATTAGTAACAAATGTTTTACAAAAAAAAGAGCAAACGGTAAGTAGTGCCTCTCTCTAAATCTGTTCAAACACTTTTTGCTACTTTTCAGTGAAAAACAAGTAGGCGAAACAAAAAGTGTGCCCAAAACACACTGTACTCTTCTAAGAGGCCCACTGTTTAACTGTGACACGACTCAAACACAAACAATTCCTCAATTGTCTGCTGAAGGAGACTAGGGGTGGCTAAATATACAGCAGAAACGAACAGCGGAGTGGTATCTGGAACCGGTCAGCCCAAATAGTGGAGATTACTAAACTTACTATTATCTGCTGGGATCAACTACAGTACTCCAAGTGTAAACCATCTATTACTGAAAAACACAATGATTTAAAAAGCATTTTTATTTACTTTTTATATAAATAACAAGTGAGCCTTAATTTTTCAGTACATTATGAATGCAGTAACACTAATTAATCACCCAGACTTTCAACAATCTCTCAATAAGCTGCAAGAGCCCAACACCAGTGGCCCTTCCCTCCCCACCTGCCCCGTCAAAAACACAAAAGAGCCTCAGATGTCTTTGAGAGCAGAAGCATGAATGAAAACATTTCCAAATCACCTGAAGATGACAACACACACTCTAAACAGAAGGTTCACAACTCTGAAGCAAGAGTGTTCTCATGTGGTGACGGTGACAATGGCCATAACATCAGTCCCACTAGTAGCAAATCCAGAAAGAAAAGAGGGAAAGCGAGAAAAGAGATGCAGAAAACACAATCTGGAGGCTGGTAAAAAAGAAGGAAACTAAAACTTCGCTTCAAACTCTAAGATAAAGGTCTGGATAACGTATCAAGTCTTTTTAAATGCATGGATGGGCTAGTAAAATAAGAGGGATGATTCCATAGAGCCCAAACCAAAGCAAAACCAGGAACTCAAAAAGAGTAAGCAATTTACTAATCTACTTATTCTCGAGGGATTCTGACTAAACCCCAGAGACCTCATGCTTCCACTTTGATGGCTGCCACAGGGGACAGGTAGTAAAACCCAGTCTGCCTAATGTTGAAAAATTAACAGGCGTCCCTCCCACATAAGGCTAGGCCTGAAAAAGGCTATAATGCACATAACAACCAATCAGGAATAAATCCCTCTGGACAGAAAGGAACAAGAGAACCTTTAGCATTTTGAAAATGGTGATGGCAAGAGGAGGAAAAATCTCTGAAAAACACAGATATGGAATGCTGTGTCAAAGGACACATAGAAGCAGCTTGAAAATAAAAGCAGAATAGAGCGAATATGAAAACACCATACAGAACTTTCAATAAGAAAAAATAAATGAAAGCTAAAACTCAACATTTGAAGTAAAAAGCAGCATAGACATAGTGTTAGACAGAATTAATGAACAATGAACTAATGAACTCATTGCAGACAATGAGATAGAAAATATGAAAGAGGAGGCCGGGCATGGTAGCTCACGCCTGTAATCCCAGCACTTTGGGAGGCTTAGGCGGGTGGATCATCTGAGGTCGGGAGTTCGAGACCAGCCTGACCAACATGGAGAAACCCCATCTCTACTAAAAATACAAAATTAGCCAGGCGTGGTGGCAAGCACCTGTAATCCCAGCTACTCAGGAGGCTGAGGCGGAAGAATTGCTTGAACCTGGGAGGCAGAGGTACAGTGAGCTGAGACTGCACCATTGTACTCCAGCCTGGGCAACAGAGCAAGACTCTGTCTCAAAAAAAACAGAAAAAGAAAATATGAAAGAGGAGATGAGTAGATTAGATGGTCTAACATACAACTACTTGGAGTTCCAGAAGGTGGTAGAATGAAGGACTGGTCCACTGAACAAATTAATAGCTGAGAAATTTCCAGAACTGATAAAGAACACAAATCTGTAAGTAGAAGTCTAATGAATCAAAAGCAGGATAGAAAATTATCTACAAGTAGACACATCGTAGTGATATTAATAATATCAAAGACAAAGAATTCCTAAAATTGGCCAAAGGAGAAAAAAAGACAAATTTCACAGAAGCAGTAATTGAATGGTCAGCTTACTTCTTGATATCAACAATGAAAGCAAGAAGACAGTGGAGTATCATCAGTGTGTTGAGACAAGAAGCTGCCAACATAAACTGCAAACTCAACAAAACTATTTTTTAAGAATGAGGTAAACAGAAACATTGAGACAATTGTTTTTTTTAAAAGACCAGAATCACTACACACTCTTAAAGTCAATTAAGTTTAAAATAACAAAAAGATAACTAGGAAAGAAATACATGTTTAGAAATTTGAAAACACCTCCAACAAACCCCAGTTAAAAAAAGACATAATGAAAATTGAAAAATATTTAGAACTGAATGGAGATTTAAAGACTATATATAAAAAACTCAGGCCAGGCATGGTGGCTCATGCCTGTAATCCCAGCACTTTGGGAGGCCAAGGTGGGCAGATCACTTGAGGTCAGGAGTTTGAGACCAGCCTGGTCAACATAGTGAAGCCCTGATTCTATTAAAAATGCAAAAATTAGTCGGGCGTGGTGGCATGCGCCTGCAATCCCAGCTACTCGGGAAGCTGAGGCAGGAGAATTGCTTGAACCCGGGAGGCGGAGATTACAGTGAGCCGAGATGGTGCCACTGCACTCCAGCGTAGGAGACAGAGCTGGACTCTGTCTTTAAAATACAATACAATACAATAAAATAAAATACTATATATAAAAAACTTGCAGGATTGAATAAACAAAATGTGGCATATATACACACAAACAATTCTTTTTTTAAGAGATGGGGTCTTGCCGTGTTGCCCAGGCTGGAGCACAGTGGCTACTCACAGGCATGATCAGAGGGCAGCACTGCAGCCCTTCAGCTCCTGAACTCAAGCAATCCTCCCACCTGATCCTCCCAAGTAGCTGTGCTGAGACTACAGGTACATGCCACCATACTGGCTCAGGAATGAAATTCTGATATATATTATTAATAAAAATGAACTCTGAAAATAATATGCTAAGTAAAATAAGCCAAACACAAAAGGACAAATACTGTATATATATACTTTTAATGGAGATAGGGTCTCACTCTGTCACTCAGGCTGGATTACAATGGCATGATCAGACCTCACTGCGGTCTAAACCTCCTGGGCTCCAGTGATCCTCCCACCTCAGCCTCCTAAGTAGCTGGAACTACAGGTGCATACTACCATCCCCAGCTAACTTTTAAACTTTTTAGCAGAGACAAGGTCTCACTATGTTGCTCAGGCTGGTCTTGAACTCCTTAGCTCAAGCTATCCTCCCACTGTGGACTCTCAAAGTGCTGGGATGACAGGTGTGAGCTGCCATGTCCGGCCTAACAAACACTGTATTAATTTCACTCAAGTGAGATACCTTAGTCAAATTCATAGACAGAAAGTAGAATAAAGGTCATTAGAGACGGGGCAAAGTGCAACATGCAGAGTTACGGCTTAATGGATGCGGAATTTCTTTTTCTTTTTCTTTTTCTTTTTTGAGACAGAGTCTCGCTCTGTCGCCCAGGCTGGAGTGCAGTGGCATGATCTCAGCTCACTGCAAGCCCTGCCTCCCAGGTTCAAGCAATTCTCCTGCCTCAGCTTCCCCAGTAGCTGGAACTGCAGGCGCCTACCACCACGCCCAGCTAATTTTTTGTATTTTTTTTTTTAGGAGAGACGGGGTTTCACCGTGTTAGCCAGGACAGTCTCGATCTCCTGACCTCGTGATCCGCCCGCCTTGGCCTCCCAAAGCGCTGGGATTACAGGCGTGAGCCACCACGCCTGGCCGGGATGCGGAATTGCTGCTTGGGATGATGAAAATGCTCTGGAAAAGGATGGTGGTGATGGTTGTACAACATTGAATATACTTAATGCCACCAAATTATACACCTAAAAATGCTTAAATAATACATTTTATGTTATGTATATTTCACCAGCAGCACAACAAAAAACTAGGATACGAAGCCCTTACAGCTCTGAATTTTTATTTATATTATTTTTTTGAGACTCACTGTCACCCAAGCAGGAGTGCAGTGGTGCAATAACGGCTCACTGCAGCAACCTCCTGGGCTCAAGTAATCCTCCCACCTCAGCCTCCGAGTGGTTGGCACCACAGGCGTGCACCATCACGCCCAGCTAATTTTTGTATTTTCTGTAGAGAAAGGGCCTCCCTATGTTGCCCAGGCTGGTCTTGAACTCCTGGGCTCAACTGATCCATCCTCCTTGGCCTCCCAAATTGCTGGGATTATAGGTGTGCACTACAGTGCCCAGCTAGCTCTGAATGTTTACATCAAAAAAGGAGAACTTCCAGCCTGGGTAACAGAGCAAGACCCTGTAAAAAAATAAAAGTAGGCCGGGCACGGTGGCTCACACCTGTAATCCCAGCACTCTGGGGGGCTGGGCGCGGTGGATCACTTGAGGTCTGGGAGTTCGAGGCCATCCTGGGCAACATGGTGAAACCCTGTCTCCACTAAAAATACAAAAATTAGCTGGGCATGATGAGACGCGTCTGTAATCCCAGTTACTCAAGAGGCTGAGGCAGGAGAATCGCTTGAACTCATGAGGAGGAGGTTGCAGTGAGCCGAGATTTCACCCCGTATTCCAGCCTGAGGGACAGAGCAAGACTCCATCTCAAAAATAAAAATAAATAAAAATAAAGAATTAGCTGGCCATGGTGGCTTGCACTTGTAATCTCAGCTACTTGGGAGGCTGAGGCAGGAAGATCACTTGAGCCCAGGAGGTTGGGGTTGCCACTGCACTCCAGCCTTGGCAACAGAGTGAGACCTTGTTTCAAATAAATAAATAAATAAATACATACATACATATATAAATAAAATAAAGGAGAACTAAAAATTAACGAGTTAAGCATCCAACCTAAGAAGTATAAAAAACAGTAAAATAAATCCAAAGAATGTAGGAAGGAAATAATCAAGATAAATCAGAAATTACTGAACAGAAAACTAATATACAAAAAGGACTATCAATAAAGCCAAAAATAGTGTCTTGGGCAAAACTAGTAAAATATCTCGGCAAAATTAATCAAAACAAAGAGAGTAAAAAATAAACATGATTAGGAATGAAAAGCAGTTCTGCTGGCATTCAATGAGCAGGGACCACAGGTATCCGATGTTTTGCAATGTGCTCACAACTCCTCAGTGTCCCACCACGTGTTGATTTATCATTTTAAAACTTATAATGATCTGAACTGAGGACAAAATTCTATTTCACATATGAAAATATTTTTCCAGTTTTAGCATACACTGAATTTTCCAGATATGCAACCACTATGTGAACCAAGAGGAGCTTGTACTTTGGCTCAGACTTCACCAAGAAGTTTATTCACAATTTTGGAAATCATGTCACTAGCAATACTGTGCTCATGCTGGTTGAGTCACCAACAGCAGAGTCCATATGATGAGACCGCACTGTGGTCACCCCTATGTATAGACACAAGTCTCTGGTCACTGCATAATGGCTTTTAGTATAGTTGTGATCAAGTATTTACAAATAAAAACATGTATTTCAGCCGGGCACGGTGGCTCACGCCTGTAATCCCAGCACTCTGGGAGGCCGAAGCGGGCGGATCACGAGGTCAGGAGATCGAGACCATCCTGGCTAACATGATGAAACCCCGTCTCTACTAAAAGCACACACAGAAAAAATTAGCTGGGCGTGGTGGCGGTCACCTGTAGTCCCAGCTACTCGGGAGGCTGAGGTAGGAGAATGGCGTGAACCCGGGAGGCGGAGGTTGCAGTGAGCCAAGATCATGCCACTGCACTCCAGCCTGGGTGACAGAGCAAGACTCCGTCTCAAACAAACAAACAAACAAACAAAAAACATGTATTTCATTATAAATTGCTCGCCTTTTCTTTTTTTCTATTATAGTCAGGGCATTAATTGATTTTTTCCTCCTAAAATTCTGTGAGGATAGGTTTAATAATCTACAATTTTCAAGTCATAGGAAAGCAATATAACACAGTGTTTAGGAGTACCGACTACATATATACCTTTTGACCCATATATCCCGTTTCTAAAAATCTATCCAAAGGATATACTCACAAAAATACAAAAAGATATATGCACTAGGCTGTCACTGTAGCATTATCAGTAACAGCAAAAGACTGGAAGTAACTCAAACAGCCATAAATAGGGGAATGGCTCAACTAACTACAGAACATTCTACACTAAATAATTTTGAAGCTATAAAAACAAATGAGAAAATAGCTCCATATACTGCCATGGAGTAATCTCCATAATATATGAAGTGAAAACCAGTTGGAAGAAAAAAATATATATGGGATGCTATCATTTACCAAAAGAGATGGGGGGAAGGTGTATCAATACACACACACACACACACACACACACACACACACACACACACACGGGGTGTACTTGTTTCTATTTTTTTTTTAAATGGAAGAACCATAATTTTTTCCCAGCTTTACTGAGGTATAATTGACAAAATTGCATATATTCAACATGATGATCTGATATACATATATCCTGTGCAATAATTATCACAATCAAATTAAGACATCCATCACCATCCATAGTTACCGCATGGGTCGGGGGTGGGGTTGGCGGAGGAACCAAAATTTTAAAAAATAGTTACTTTGGGAGAGATGGGACCAAGTTAAAACCTAGATTTCTCTGAATATATATTTTTGGTATATTCGCTTTTGGAACTCCGTAAATTATATAAAATCACCAGCTTATGAAGAATGAACAATACTGCTTGTAGTAAGATAGCCATCCACTGATCACTTAAGAAAATCCTTGTACTTTTTTGCTTTGTAGACGACATATGCACCTTATTTGCATTTACAATTAAATGAAGACCAAAATACGGAACAGAATTGAATGTAAATTGGCACTGGTTCTGTTCTTACATCTTTAGAGATTATGGTATCTATAATGGTAACTTTTTGTATTATATGTATTACACAGTTAGCAAACACTCATTAACCAGATTATGACCGGGTTATTAGCTCTATTATTTATAGGTTATGCCTCTATTGTCAGCTACCATGATGTATCATATTTCCTCTACTGAACTCTACTCTTTGTGAGAAGGTACTAAGTTTTGAGAAGAAAATATAAAAATAAAAATTTAAAAAAGAGGCCAGGCATGGTGGCTCATGTCTGTAATCCCAGCACTTTGGGAGGTCGAGGCGGGCGGATCATGAGATCAGGAGTTCGAGACCAACCTGGCCAGCATGGTGAAACCTCATCTCTACTAAAAGTACAAAAACTAGGTGGGCATGGTGGTGCTCACTTGTAATCCCAGCTACTCAGGAGACTGAGGTAGAATCGCTTGACCCCGGGAGGTGGAGCTTGCAGTGAGCCGAGATCATGCCACTGCACTCCAGCCTGGGCAACAGAGCAAGACTCCGTCTAAAAAAAAAAAAAAAGAAGATACTAATTTTATAGCTCTTTTTATTCTCAAGGAGCACCTAGCAAAGTGTTATATACATCACAGAAACTCAAAATGTGTTTTTCAAATAAACAATGTTAGCCAGTCTAGGCAAATAAACTACTGCCACTTATCAAGTTGCATACTGAAAGCCAAATCACTCTTCCTTTTAGTCCCTTTATTTAACCACCAATATAATGGAGTAATACCTGTATTATCTATTCTCACAAGTGATGACAAATAATGAACACATACATAAGAATATGTCCAACCTCAGACATTAATGAAATGTAAATTAAGGCCTCTAGCAGATACCATTTTACACCTTCTACATTGGCAAAAAACAAGAAGGCTGATTCAAATCAAGTGTTATCAGGAATATGGCACAAAGAGAATTCTTATATACAGCTGGCAGGAGTATAAACTGGCAAAACTACTTTAGAAAATTTGGCAGGCTGGATGCGGTGGCTCGCACCTGTAATCCCAGTTACTCAGGAGGCGGAGGTGGGGGATTGCTTGAGGCCAGGAGTTCGAGCCCAGCCTGGCCAACATGGCAAAACCCCGTCTCTACTAAAAATGCAAAAAAATTAGATGAGCATGGTGGTGTGTGCCTGTAATCCCAGCTACTCAGGAGGCTGAGGCAAGAGAATCGCTTGAACTCGGGAGGCAAAGGTTGCAGTGAGCTGAGATCACGCCACTGCACTCCAGTCTGGGTGACAGAGCGAGACCCTGTCTCAAAAAAAAAAAAAAAAAAAAAAGGCCGGGCACGGTGGCTCATGCCTGTAATCCCAGCACTTTGGGAGGCCGAGGCAGGTGGATCACGAGGTCAGAAGATCGAGACCATCCTGGCTAACACGGTGAAACCTCGTCTCTACTAAAAATACAAAAAATTAGCTGGGCGTGGTGGCGGGTGCCTGTAGTGTCCCAGCTACTCAGGAGGCTGAGGCAGGAGAATGGCGTGAACCCGGGAGGCGGAATTTGCAGTGAGCCGAGATCGCACCACTGCACTCCAGCCTGGGCAATAGAGCAAGACTCCGTCTCAAAAAAAAAAAAAAAAAAAGAAAGAAAAGAAAAGAAAATTTGGGGTCGGTGCAGTGACTCACAGCTGTAATCCCAACATTTTGGGAGGGTGAGGCGGGAGGACTGCCTGAGCCCACTAGTTAGAGACCAGCCTGGGCAACGTGGCAAGACGCTATTTTAAAAAATTAAATTAAATTAAATTAGAAATTGGGTATTAGCTTTAAAGTTGACTTCTATCTGTATTTATTTATTTATTTTTTTTTGAGACAGAGTCTCGCTCTGTCACCCAGGCTGGAGTGCAGTGGCACAATCTCGGCTCACTGCAACCTCCGCCTCCCAGGTTCAAGTGATTCTCCTGCCTCAGCCTCCCGAGTAGCTGGGATTACAGACACCCGCCACCATGCCTGGCTAATTTTTTGTATTTTTAGTAGAGATGCGGCTTCACACCATGTTGGCCAGGCTGGTCTTGAACTCCTGACCTCAAGTGATCTGCCCGTCTTGGTCTCCCAAAGTGCTGGGATTATAGGTGTGAGCCACTGCGCCTGGCAAGAAAAAATGGACTTCTAAGATACGATGTTCCATCAGAAAATCTCTTCCTAAAGGTCACTTGAAGAGCGCTAAAATGTTTATTTGACAAACTTATCATAAAGAAGTTATGCAAATAAACTTCACAGTTGAAATACCAAAAGTAGGAAGTTTTTCCCAGTGTCTGTTTATAAAGTTTAGCATTATTACACCTAAAAGCCAATTGTTTTCTGCAAAGATACAAAAGCAGCAGCAGGCCGGGCGCGGTGGCTCACGCCTGTAATCCCAGCACTTTCGGAGGCAGGTGGATCACCTGAGGTCAGGAGATCAAGACCATCCTGGCTAACACGGTGAAACCCCATCTCTACTAAAAATACAAAAAAAAAAAAAAATAGCCGGGCGTGGTGGTGGGCGCCTGTGGTCCCAGCTACTCTGGAGGCTGAGGCAGGAGAATGGCATGAACCCAGGAGGCAGAGCTTGCAGTGAGCCGTGATCGTGCCACACCACTGCACTCCAGCCTGGGTGACAGAGCCTGGCCAGACACCTTTTATCAAGCAATTAACACTGGATCTCTTTGTAGACAGTGATCTGAGTGCCTTTCCTTTCTTTCTATAGAAAATAGACAATAATACTTGTCTATATTCTATTTTTTCTAAAATGCAGATACTATTTTGCCATGAAAACGTAAGCAATCTTCAATTTAAAAATCTACTCATCTTCTAAGCTCTTTCTCAAATACTTCTTTTACTGTCATGTGACCTCTGCTCCGTCTCTGAGCTCCCGCAGCAGTTAATACCATTCTCCTGCCAGTTACTGATCTAGTGCCTCTCCATTCCAAATTCATCATTTCTGTCCATTCCGAAAACGGATCTGAGGCCTTCAAGCATTTTTCCTTTGCCGGGACACGATGCTAAGCTTTGTCGATATAGGGCGCTGGAGAGACATCACAGAAGAAAAGGAGTTTTGCTTCCTGGTTCCAGTTGTCACAAGACTCCTGATGGGCAGGCAGCTCCTCCAGCATCAGACTCCAATAGGGGAAGGTGGCCAGCAGCACTGAGTCTACTGCAACAGGGAGCCACCCCACATACTCTTTTTGAGCAGTTTTGTATCAGAGTTAATAATTCTCCTTGGCACCCTAAAGGGCAGATGTCCAACAACTATGGCCAACAAAGAACCATTAAATGGCAGAAACATCTCTGCCATTCAGTGATTTACAACCACGCTCTCTCCAATAAGGTCTGGATCTCAGCTCTGGGAAAAGGAATAGCTCTTTCCCAGGCAGGGGGTGGGGGGTCTATCTCAGCCCTAGGGGAAGTAGCTGCTTCTTACTTTTGCTATTCCAATGTTCTTTAGAGCTCTATTTTTTTACTGGCTAATCCCTCATTACTCAATTACCCTGTTATAGTCAGTCAATTATGTTTTTTCATGTTCAAATTACTGTATGGCTTCTCTCTCCTGATTGGACCCAGAATGATACAGTCCCATCCATCCATATGGTACTTGCACACTTCCTTGAAATTCAGTCACCTGGCTTCTAACTTTTCTTCTTTTTTTTTTTTTTGAGACGGAGTTTCACTCTCGTTGCCCAGGCTGGAGTGCAATGGCACGATCTCGGCTCACTGCAACCTCCGCCTCCCCGGTTAAAGCGGTTCTCCTCTCTCCCTCTCCCTCTCCCTCTCCCCACGGTCTCCCTCTCATGCGGAGCCGAAGCTGGACTGTACTGCTGCCATCTCAGCTCACTGCAACCTCCCTGTCTGATTCTCCTGCCTCAGCCTGCCGAGTGCCTGCGATTGCAGGCATGCGCCGCCACGCCTGACTGGTTTTGGTGGAGACGAGGTTTCGCTGTGTTGGCCGGGCCGGTCTCCAGCCCCTAACCGCGAGTGATCCGCCAGCCTCGGCCTCCCGAGGTGCCGGGATTGCAGACGGAGTCTCGTTCACTCAGTGCTCAATGGTGCCCAGGCTGGAGTGCAGTGGCGTGATCTCGGCTCACTACAACCTCCACCTCCCAGCCGCCTGCCTTGGCCTCCCAAAGTGCCGAGATTGCAGCCTCTGCCCGGCCGCCACCCCGTCTGGGAAGTGAGGAGTGTCTCTGCCTGGCCGCCCATCGTCTGGGATGTGAGGAGCCCCTCTGCCTGGCTGCCCAGTCTGGAAAGTGAGGAGCGTCTGCGCCCGGCCACCATCCCATCTAGGAAGTGAGGAGCGTCTCTGCCCGGGCGCCCATCGTCTGAGATGTGGGGGACGCCTCTGCCCCGCCGCCCCATCTGGGATGTGAGGAGCGCCTCTGCCCGGCCAAGACCCCGTCTGGGAGGTGAGGAGCGTCTCTGCCCGGCCGCCCCGTCTGAGAAGTGAGGAGACCCTCTGCCTGGCAACCACCCCGTCTGAGAAGTGAGGAGCCCCTCCGCCCGGCAGCTGCCCCGTCTGAGAAGTGAGGAGCCTCTCCGCCCGGCAGCCACCCCATCTGGGAAGTGAGGAGCGTCTCCGTCCGGCAGCCACCCCGTCCGGGAGGGAGGTGGGGGGGGGTCAGCCCCCCGCCCGGCCAGCCGCCCCATCCGGGAGGGAGGTGGGGGTCAGCCCCCCGCCCGGCCAGCCGCCCCGTCCGGGAGGTGAGGGGCGCCTCTGCCCGGCCGCCCCTACTGGGAAGTGAGGAGCCCCTCTGCCCGGCCACCACCCCGTCTGGGAGGTGTGCCCAACAGCTCATTGAGAACGGGCCAGGATGACAATGGCGGCTTTGTGGAATAGAAAGGCGGGAAAGGTGGGGAAAAGATTGAGAAATCGGATGGTTGCCGTGTCTGTGTAGAAAGAAGTAGACATGGGAGACTTTTCATTTTGTTCTGCACTAAGAAAAATTCTTCTGCCTTGGGATCCTGTTGATCTGTGACCTTACCCCCAACCCTGTGCTCTCTGAAACATGTGCTGTGTCCACTCAGGGTTAAATGGATTAAGGGCGGTGCAAGATGTGCTTTGTTAAACAGATGCTTGAAGGCAGCATGCTCGTTAAGAGTCATCACCAATCCCTAATCTCAAGTAATCAGGGACACAAACACTGCGGAAGGCCGCAGGGTCCTCTGCCTAGGAAAACCAGAGACCTTTGTTCACTTGTTTATCTGCTGACCTTCCCTCCACTATTGTCCCATGACCCTGCCAAATCCCCCTCTGTGAGAAACACCCAAGAATTATCAATAAAAAAATAAATTAAAAAAAAAAAAAAAAAGCGGTTCTCCTGCCTCAGCCTTACCGAGTAGCCGGGATTACAGGTATGCACAACCACACCCGGCTAATTTTGTATTTTTAGTAGAGACAGGGTTTCTCCATGTTGGTCAGGCTGGTCTTGAACTCCTGATCTCCATCCGCCTCAGCCTCCCAAAGTGCTGGGATTACAGGCTTGAGCCACTGTGCTCAGCCCTAACTTTTCTTTTTTCTACAAGATTATAAACTGGCTGGCAGGTAACACTTTCCATACATCTCTGTACCTATCTGACACTATCTAACATAATGCTTTTAACACGGAGGCACCAACAAACGTTTAAACTCACACTTTGAATCACGACTCATAAATATCCTATACACCTTCAGTAGTTTAAGGCCGTTATAAACAAGTAAACACTTTCTAATGACACACCTTGTTTCAGAATCTTCACCAGCAAAGCACAAATAATTTGGATAGCATAAGAATGCATCCTTATGCATTCAAACTGCTCAAACTCACAGACCGGTCATGGTTACAGGCCCATAATGCGGCTGCACATGGATGATGCCTACTTATCACTGTAGAAATATGAACAATGAGGTAAGAAATCATACTCAGAGTCCAGGCTTGGTGGCTCACACCTGTAATCCCAGCACTTTGGGAGGCTGAGGCCGGCGGTTCACCTGAGCTCAGGAGTTCGAGACCAGCCTGGCCAACATGGAGAAATACTGTCTCTACTAAAAATACAGAAATTAGCTGGGTGTGGTGGTGGGCACCTACAATCCCAGCTACTCAGGAGGCTGAGGCAGGAGAATTGCTTGAACCCGGGAGACGGAGGTTGTAGTGAGCTGAGATCGCGCCAGTGTGCTCCAGCCTGGGCGACAGTGCAAGACGCTGTCTCAAAACAAACAAACAAACAAAAAACTGAAAATAACCCAGGTGTGCACCATCCCAGCTACTTAAGAGGCTGAGGCAGGAGGATCACTTGAGCCCAGGAGTTCAAGACTAGCCTGGACAATATAGAAGACCCTGTCTCTTTCACCCATACAATGGAATACCATTTGACTGTAAAAGGAATGAAGTGCTGAGAGATGCCACAGCATGGATGGACCTTGAAAACACTGTGTTAAATGAAAGAAACCAGTCACAAAAGACCACATATTGTATCATTCCATTCATGAGACAAAAAATAGATTAGTGGTATTTGGGGCCGGCGGGGAGATGAAATAAGGAGTCACTGCTATTCAGTGCAGTATTTCTCTCTGAGGTGGTGCAAATATTCTGTAATTAGATAGTGGGGACGGCTGTATAACTTTGTGAGCACACTTAAAAAACCCACTTAACTGGCTGGGCACAGTGACTCACGCCTGTAATCCCGGCACTTTGGGAGGCTGAGGCGGGCAGATCACGAGCTCAGGAGTTCAAGACCAGCCTGGCCAGTATGGTGAAACCCCATCTCTACTAAAAATACAAAAATTAGCTGGGCGTGGTGGTGCGTGCCTGTAGTCCCAACTACTCTGGAGGCTGAGGCAGAAGAATTGCTTGAACCTGGGAGGCAGAGGTTGCAGTGGGCCGAGATCACGCCACTGTACTCCAGCCTCCAGCCTGGGTGACAGAGCAAGACTCTATCTCAAAAAAAAAAAAAAAAAAAAAAAAAAAAAAAAAAAAAAACAAAAAAAACCACTTAACTGTATACCTTAAAGGGTGAATTTTACTGTATATGAATATCTGTTTTTTTAAAATTTAAGGAATTTTTAAGGAAAAGAAAGAAACCAATTGGGCCAAACATAGATGCAGAGAGCAAGAGAAACTGACCTGAAACAGAGGCACAGGCAAGGATGAAAAGTTTGCCTCTGGTGAAGAAGAAACTCTGAAGAATATGCCAGAGGCTCCCAGGGCAATGCAAAAAGAAGAGTTCTAGAAATAATCTGAAGAGTGGAAGCATCACTGGGATAATCAGGCAGTCTCTCAATGGGACTACTTCAATGGTGACAAAAACCATTTATAGTATTTGCTGTGTTCAGGAAAAGATCACTTCAACGACCTCACAGCCATGCCTCCTACCTTCTATGCTTACTCTTCATGTCTGACAAAAAGGCTGAAGACAGGCATCTGGATTATTTACTCTGCTAGTAATGTTTCTATCCAGTGACAGAAAAATACGAGAATAAAAATGTGTAAGTTTTTCCCTTTTTAAGAAATTAACATCCTTGGACGGGTGTGGTGGCTCATGCCTGTAATGCCAGCACTTTGGCACACTGAGGTGGGCAGATCACTTGAGGTCAGGAGTTCAAGACCAGCCTGGGCAACATGGTGAAACTGTGTCTCTACTAAAAAAATATAAAATTTAGCCAGGCGTGATCATGAGTGCCTGCTGTCCCAGCTACTCAGGAGGCTGAGGCATGAGAATCGCCCGAACCAGGAAGTGGAGGCTGCTGTGAGCTGAGATCATGCCAGGGTACACTCCACCCTGGGCAGTAGAGCGAGACACTTTCTCAAAATAAAATAAACTAAAATAAAATAAAATAAAAATACTATCACTTCATCCTCCCACTTAAAACCTTCTCATGGTTCTTAGGTAAAGCCCAACAGTGCGTGCATCATCAGGCTCCTGTCTAACTTTCTAGACTCATCTCACTTTAGTCTTTCCCTCTTCAGGCTTTAAGTTTTTTCTATTCTTACTGTTTCTTTAATTGCCATCTGAAGCTTTCGCACATGACCTCCCCGGACACGGGACGTGTCGTGCTAAAACCAGGAAAGCCGTGGACAAACCAGAATGAACTGATGACTCTACTTTCTGCCCACCACCTCCACCTGGCAAACACCTACTTCAAGTACTAGCTTAAATGTCATTCTCTCAGGAAACCTCTGATACCTCTTCACTGCCACAAGTATTGGTTTATTTCCTTTTATCTCAACATTCATCACACTGGATTTCTTCTTTTAATGTCTGTCTTCTCTAACTACGTATAAACTCCACAGGCAAGGACCCAGTGAGTATCTATCTTGTTGACCATTACATCACCATCACACTGGACACTGTGTTTAGCCCAGAGTAGGTGATGAGTCATTATTTCTTGAATGAATAAATCAGTGAATGAAAGGATTTCATCTGTGACAGCATCAGAATTAAAGGGTTTTTTCTTCTTTAGGCTAGTGGAGACCCAGGCAAGTTTGAAGATACATTCACTGTTCTATCTCTTTTAAGGTCACTATTCTAGAAGCTAAGACAAATGCTCCATTTATCTTGTTCATCACAACCAATAAAACTGACCCAGAAACCTCATCCCTTAAGCACCGTATGTTCAAGATGACACCCCAGGTCGTGAGTCTAAACTCTCACTATTCAGTATCTAACGCGAGTATTCTCGGTATTTATCGCAGATCATCTTCCTGACCAGAAGACGGGATTCCAGGCAACAGGAACATAAGTACCACGTAGCTCATGAGACAGCAAGGAGATCACAGGGCACAGCTGGCAAGCAGTGGGAAATAAAACTAGGCTGAGTGGGGCCAGAATGGTGCAGGGTCTGGGCAACAGGAAGCGCCTGGAAATTTGAGGGGTTTGGGGTTAATTTTTTTTTATTCTTATATAATAAAAGTAGTACATGATGATCACAAAAACCTCAAACCAGAATAAGGTCTAAAAGAAAAGAAGAATAAGCCTAAGTCCACTTCTCAGAGATACCTGCTTTTGATATTTTCACACTAGAAGTTACTAAGCAGGGAAATGACGTGGATGGAAAAAATAACAGAAACTCTTTGTAAATCTCTCCTGTTGGATACAGTGAGTTCTAGATTTCTCTTCAAAGAACCAGTATTGCCCTCCATTTTAAAGTTTAACTTCAGCGTAGTTTCACTAAACAACCTTTTCCACCAGTTTTCATCAGTAGTTCACATCTGTTCCCCCAGTCACCTGCTCTGTCCTGACTCATCCCAGTCACCTGCTTTGACCTGAGTCACCCCTGGTCACCTGCTCTGACCTAAGTCACCTTGAGTTACCTGTTCCTAACCGTCCTTCCCACTAAACTACTCAGCCTGCCACTCTGGCTCATACCCCCTGGTCTCTTTAAAATAGCCAATCGGAATTAGCTTAGACAGTGCAGTCCAACCCTAGCCAACAGGGGAATGACACAACAATAGGGGCTACCTGTGTCAGGAATAAGAACCCCTTCCCCTCCCTTGTTCAGGTGTGCTCTCACCATTGTTCCATCTGCGAGGAGCACCCTTTATGCAGCAAGTAAAACTGCCTTGCTGAGAAAGTTAAATTTATGCTGAGTGCTATTTCATTGCAGCACCAAGGAATAAGCATTTTGTTTCTTTCTTTCTTTTTTGAGATGGAATCTTGCTCTGTCACCCAGGCTAGAGTGCAGTGGCACAATCTCAGCTCACTACAATCTCCTCCTCCCGGGTTCAAGCGATTCTTCTGCCTCAGCCTCCCGAGTAGCTGGGACTACAGGCGCGTGCCATCACGCCCAGCTAATTTTTGTATTTTTAGTACGGACAAGGTTTCACCATATTGGGCAGGCTGGTCTTGAACTCCTGACCTTGTGATCCTCCCAGCTCGGCCTCCCAAAGTGCTGGGATTACAGGCATGAGCCACCACGCCCAGCCCAAGCATTTTGTTACTAATACTCCTAATTTATTCATTCATTCAAATATTTATTAAGTGCCTAAAAGAGTTAAGTCTCAGTTTGGAGCTCACAAATAACAACTACTCTGAAATGAGTTAAGCTGCTGACAGGGCCCAGTGGAACGCACTGGAAAGGGGGACCCGGAGCTCCTGTTTAGATGAGAGTAATTAGGCAAAAAAAACCCAGAATTGCTTTTTGAAGGATGAAAAGGAATTTGTCAGGCAAAGAAAGAGAGGAAGGTATCTATATACAGAGGACACAGGGAGTGTAAAGGCATTTTGTAATTCAAATGTGACCCTTTTTTCTCTTTTTCTTCTTCCCCTTGGCTTTCACTCAATCACCACATTAAAAAACTGAAACAATGACAAAGCGTAAAGGAAGTCAAGTGGCGAGGCTCAGAAAATGCTTCAAAACTGCCTGACGGTAGGGAACAGGGAGACAACAAGTCAGCAACAAGAAAGATTACTTAAAAAGTTGGAAGGGGCCGGGTGCGGTGGCTCACACCTGTAATCCCTGCACTTTGGGAGGCCAAGGCAGACGGATCATGAGGTCAAGAGTTCAACACCAGCCAGACCAACACAGTGAAACCCCGTCTCTATTGAAAATACAAAGATTAGCCAGGCATGGTGGTGCTCGCCTGTAACCCCAGCTACTAAGGAGGCTGAGGCAGCAGAATCGCCTGAACCCAGGAGGCGGAGGTTGCAGTGAGCCAAGATCATGCCGCTGTACTCCAGGCTGGCAACAAAGCGAGACTCCGTCTCAAAAAAAAAAAGAAGAAGTCTGGGTGCAGTGGCTCACGCCTGTAATCCCAACACTTTGGGAGGCTGAGGCAGGCGGATCACCTGAGGTCAGGAATTCGAGACCAGCCTGACCAACGTGGAGAAACCCCATCTCTACTAAAAATACAAAATTAGCCAGGCGTGGTGGCACATACCTATAATCCCAGCTACTCAGGAGGCTAAGGCAGGAGAGTCACTTGAACCCGGGAAGTAGAGGTTACAGAGGGCCGAGATTGTGCCACTGCACTCCAGCCTGGGCAGCAAGAGCCAAACTCCATCTCAAAAAAAAAAAAAAAAAAGTCGGAAGAAGAAATGCGTAAACACTCTGAAGTCTAGTTTTTCCTAATTTTGGCCATGAACCCCAAATAGCAATTCAAAATGGAAAAATGGGGAGGGAGGGTCCATAGACATAGGAAAAATTTTCAGCCTCACTAGATTTATCAAACAGATGCAAAATGGAACAAGATACCATTCTCCTACTACCAAAGTGAAAATCTATCAATCTGAGGTAAAATCTTTTATTAAAAGATGAAGGTCAAGACTGATGTTACTACTTAAGTGATTACCTAAGTTTCAAAAAATTGGAACAGGTTTACTCTAGTAAATAATGCTATCAAATCAGAAATCTCCAACGTAGTCTGTCCCAAATCTCCACCAATACAATTTATATGAGATCTTTGAAGGATTTCAATTAGCTTTAAGGTCAACTGTACTGCAAAAAGACTCGTGACCCAGCCATGCTCTGCCTCATAAAACAAAGTTCAATCATCTGCCTAAAAGAACTATGAAGATATCTTGTCTCTCCCTACTAGCCATCGCTTTATTTGGAGACTCAGAGTCGGCTTTGAAGAATCAAAGCAGAATCAAGAATTGGTCAGCCACTCCTTGCTACACAGAGGCAGTTTTTGTGGCAGCCACAGTTCCTTATCTTCTGTGATCTCTCAACATACATTCAGGGAGATTACCAGGCGCAAATTCCAGAAAGCAAACCAGGAAGTGTGTGTCTGCGCCCGTGTGCAGGTAAGGTTCCAGCGGGGCTGTGTAAGGGCAGGAAAACCCGAATGGACACACTGCTTCCTGGGAGGTTTAGTGAAGTAACAAGGAGAGTGTTATGTTGTGGGTGTAAGATCAGAATCAGAAAACCTGTAACAGCAGCACATGCTAGAAATGAGGGCCACTCTCATACATCATCAGTTCAGACTCACAAAGACAGAAACAGGGTAGGGTAAGATCCTACTACCCTAGCCCAGAATACCATATGAAGAGGAATGTCTGTTCATCACTGGAAATCAGGCCGGGAGCTGTGTATTTATCCCTCAGAAATACATCTGAGAAGCGGTTTCATCAGAACTCCAGTCCCCTGGAGAGGCAAGGAAAACACACACACATCTCTGACAAATGCACATGAGACAGGACATAACAGTTACTGTTCAATGGTAAGTAGGCAGTAAGAAATCCAGCACTGATCCTAATAGCAAAAGAAAACCACAAGGAAGATTACCCTTCACACAAAAGCAGAACCTAACTTACAAGGTAAATTACTTCAGGAACTTCCAGTCACAATTTAGCAAATGACACAAAACAGGAGTATATGGAGAGAAGAAACCAGGATGAGATAAGATAATTTAAGAAAAGTGAGATAAATTTTAAAAGGATACTAAGAAATTAAGATTGCAATAGCAGAAATAAAGCCAACATTAGAAGTGAAAAAGAAAAATCAAACGAGTGGTAAAAAAGGGCAAACTTTTGAGCAGTTCACATAGGGGACAGAAATGGTGAGCCAACCTAATAATTACATGTGTTTTCAAGGAAGGAAACAGAACAATTGAAACAAAAGTAATCACCAAAAGTATTATTGGAAATTTTTTAAAAAGCACCAAGTACAAAGATCATAAGGAACTAATGTTTCAGGCAACATTAGTGAACATGTACAAGACAGAATCTGTCAAAATATTTTTAAAAAAAGAAAAAGGAAAATTCCTACCACCATCCAGGCACAGGAAAAAAACAAAATGATTAATGCAAGGCGATAGAACAACATCAACAGAATTTCTGAGGGAAGTTAGCAATCTAAATCATTAAATGTGGCTTCCAGGTACTCCTAGTGAAAATACTAGCTGAAAATGTACACTAGATGGTATACATGACTAATGAATTTAAATGTAAAACAGAAAGCTGGCAATGAGCAATGAATTCACATAAACAAGGTTTCAATAACTTGTGTTAATACTAAATGTAATTAGCGAGATAAAAGAAATAATTAGGCCAGGTGTGGTGGCTCTCACCTGCAATCCCAGCACTTAGGGAGGCTGGGGCAGGAAGATAGGATCACGTGAGCCCAGAAATTAGGCGGGTGTGGTGGCATGTGCCTGTAGTCCCAGCTACTCAGGCGGCTGAGATGGGAGGACTGCCTGAAAGACTGCAGCAAGCTGAGGTTGCACCACTGCACTCCAAACTGGGCAACCTTCTTATATCTGAAGATTATAAGATTTTTTTCTCAGGCCCGGCGCGGTGGCTCACACCTGCAATCCCAGCACTTTGGGAGGCTGAGGCGGGCGGATCACGAGGTCAGGAGATCGAGACCATCCTGGCCCACATGATGAAACCTCGTCTCTACTAAAAATACAAAAATTAGCCAGGCGTGGTGGTGGGTGCCTGTAATCCCAGCTATTCAGGCCTGAACTCGGGAGGCGGAAGTTGCAGTGAGCCATCGGCACCACTGCACTCCAGCCTGGGTGACACAGGGAGACTCCGTCTCAAAAAAAAAAAAAATTTTTTTTTCTCTTAACCCATTCTCACGTTACCCTCTTTTCACCTCCATGGTGAGCTTGGGACAAGAGCGAGACCTTGTCTCAAAAATAAATAGGCCAGACGTGGTGGCTCATGCTTTTACTACCAGCCCTTTGGGAGGCCAAGGCAGACGGATCACTTGAGGCCAGGAGTTTGAGACCAACACGACAAAACCCTGTCTCTACTAAAAATATAAAAATTAGCCAGGCGTGGTGGTACACGCCTGTAATCCCAGCTATTCGGGAGGCTGAGGTCAGGAAAATTGCTTGAACCAGGGAAGAGGTGCTTGCAGTGAGCTGAGATTGCGCCATTGCACTCCAGCCTGGGCAACAGAGTGAAACTCTGTCTCAAACAAACAAACAAACAAACAAATAAATAAAACAAAATTACCAAAAGAAGATGGAATTAGAAACATGAAATATACAAAAAATACATTAACAATATTCTGTGTCCCAAGCTCACCACGGAGGTGAAAGGAGGATAAAGTGAGAAAGGGTTAAGAGAAAAAAATCTTATAATCTTCAGATATAGGAAGAGTCAAAACAATTTTCTTTTTCAGGCTTACAGATCAGAAAATTTTTTTTCAATTTAGATTTAGACTTGAATTCACTTAAGCTAATATACTTTAAAAACAGGATGTATACATTCCAAATATCTGAGATAAAAGCAAACCAAATACAATTTACAAAGCAAAAAAAGAAAACATTGATAGGTGAACAGATAAACAAAAGTGGTATAATACATAGAATGGAGTATTACTCACCCTTAAAAAGGAATTAAGTACTACAGGTTGAGTATCCCTTATCCAAAATGCAAAATGCTTGGGGCTAGAACTGTCTCAGAGTTCTAATACTGGAATATTTGCATACACATAATGAGATATGTTGGGGATGAGACCCAAATCTAAATATGAAATTCACTTGTGGCTGGGTGTGGTGGCTCACACCTGTAATCCCAGCACTTTGGGAGGCCGAGGCAGGCAGAACACCTGAGGTCAAGAGTTCAAGACCAGCCTGGCCAACATGGTGAAATCCTATCTCTACTCAAAATACAAAAATTAGCTGAGAGTGGTGGCATGCGCCTGTAATCCCAGCTACTCAGGAGACTGAGGCAGGAGAATCACTTGAACCTGGGAGGAGGAGGTTGCAGTGAGCTGAGACTGCGCCATTGTACTCCAACCTGGGCAACAAGAGTGAAACGGTCTCAAAAAAAAAAAAAAAAAAAAGAAATTCATTTGTGTTTCATAAATGCCTTTTATATATAGCCTGAATTATATATATATATATATATATGTATATAAATAAATTTGTGTGTTTTTTGGGGGGACAGTCTTGCTCTGTCACCCAGGCTGGACTGCAGTGGTGTGATCTGGGCTCACTGCAACCTCCGCCCTCTGGGCTCAAGAGATTCTCATGCCTCAGCCTCCCGAGTAGCTGGGATTACAGGTGCGTGCCACCACGCTGGCTAATTTTTCTATTTTTAGTAGAGACGGGGTTTTAGCATGTTGGCCAGGCTGGTCTTGAATTCCTGGCCTCAAGCAATCTACCCACCTTGCCCTCCCAAAGTGCTAGGATTACAGGAGTGAGCCACTATGCTTGGCCAATATTTTAAATAATTTTGTGCACGAAACATGGTTTGCATTAAGTACTTACATATGGAATTTTCCACTTGTGATGTCATGTCAGCACTCAGAAAGTGCTGGAATTTGGAGCATTTCGGATTTTGGATTTTCAGATTAGCGATGCTCAACCTATACTATATGCTACAAAATGGATAAACCCTGAAAATACTGCGCTACATGAAATAATGAGCGAGACACAAAAGGACAAACATTGCACGATTCCAGTTATAAGAAATATCCAGAAGAGGCAAGTTCATTGAGACAGAAAACAGATTAGAGATAGGCTACTGGGGGCTGGAGGTAGGGAATGAGGAGTTAATGTTTAATGAGTACCGAGTTTCAGTTGGGGAAGATGAAAAAAATTCTGAAGACAGATGGTAGGGAAAGTTGTACCACAACGTGAGTACTTAATGCCAAAGAACTGTACACTTAAGAACGTTTAAGATGGTAATTTTATGTTACATGTATTTTACAACAATTAAAAAAAGCAACAATTAATCATTAAAAAACAGAAAGCATTAAATAAAATAACAGAAACATACCAGAAAGCATTTATTATAATAAACATGTTTTGGTTTTTTTTTTTTTTAAACTTTATTTTAGGTTTTAAGCATTCATTTTTAATGCTTTAAGCATTAATATGTTTTAAGCATTCACTTTGGAATAAAGCAAAAATAAACTACACGCAATTTTAAAAAGACACAACAAAAAACAGCAAGGAAAGATAATGTTGAATAATTTATTGAACAAAAAACAAAGTACAACAGGAATTTAAGACAAGCAAAATATAAGATGCAAAAATGTTAAATCATGATCGTACAGGACAATCATTTTCATGGATGAGGTACAATTCATAATGAAGATCTTGAGCAGTGTAGAATTTACACACGTACCAAATAATACTGAATCAAAACATGACAGAAATCATCAGAGTTGGGAGAATGAGAACTTAAACCACAGACTTAGAAAAAAAATATCTGCAAAAGAAGTATCTACCAGCCTGCGCAACAGAGTGAACCGTCTCTACAAAAAGATTTTAAAAATTAGCCAGGTATAGGCCAGGCACGGTGGCTCACGCCTGTAATCCCAGCACTTTGGGAGGCAGAGGTGGATGGATCACCTGAGCTCAGGAGTTCGAGACCAACCTGGCCAATATGGTGAAATCCCATCTCTACAAAAAAAATACAAAAAATTAGCCAGGCGTGGTGGCAGGCGCCTATAATCCCAGCTATTTGGGAGGCTAAGGCATGAGAATTACTTGAACCCAGGAGGCGGAGGTTGCAGTGAGCCCAGATCATGCCATTGCACCACAGCCTGGGCGACAAGAGCGAAACTCTGTTTCAAAAAAAAAAAAAAGAAATAGCCAGGTAAGGTAGCGTATCTGTAGTCCTGGCTACTCTGGAGGCTGAGGTGAGAAGATCGCTTCAGCCTAGGAGCTCGAGGCTGCAGTGAGTTCTCATCGTGCCACTACATTCCAGCCCAGGCAACAGAGCAAGACTCTATCTCAAAAAAAAAACAGAAAACAATGAAACACTACTACCTATTGGAATGGGTAAAATCCAAAACAATGATAACATGACATGCTGGAAAAGATGTGAAGCAACAGGAACCCCCACATCCATTGCTGGTGGGAATGCAAAATGGTACAGCCACTTTGGAAGAAAGTTGAACAGTTTCTTACAAAATGAAATACATTCTTACCATACACTCCAGCCATCATGCTCCTTGGTATTCACCCAAATCAGCTGAAAACTTATGTCCACCCGAAAACCTACACATGAGCACTTGAATAGACATTTTTTCAAAGAAGATATACAAATGGTCAATAAGTACATGAAAAAATGCTCAACATCACTAACTGCTAGAGAAATGCAAATCAAAACTAACATGATACCACCTAATACCCATTAGGATGGCTACTATTAAAAACAACAACGGTTGTGTTAAAAAGGATGTAGAGAAACTGAACTGCTGTGCGCTGCTGGTGGAAACGTGAAGTGATACAGGCGCTGTGGAAAGCAATACGGTAGTTCCTCAAAAAATGAAACACAGAATTATCATATGACCCAGCAATTCCATTCTGGGTATGTACCCGAAATAACTGAAAACAAGGTCTCAAAGAGGTATTTGTACACCCATGTTCGTAGTAGCATTAATCTCAGTACCTAAATTACGGAAGCAATCCAAGTGTCTACTGATGAATAAATGGACAAGCAGAATAAGGTAAATACACACATGGGAATACTATTCACCCAAAAAAAAAAGAAAAGAACTTCTGACATGCTACAACACAGATGAAGCTTGAGGATAAGTGAAATAAGTCACAAAAACACAAAATATGATTCCACTTACATAAGGTACATAAGAGTAGCCAAAATCATGCAGACAGAAAGGAGAATGAGGAGTTATGGTTCAATGGGTATAGAATTTCAGTTTTGCAGGATGGAAAGTTTCGGAGATGGATGGTGGTGATAATTGCACACTATAAATGTATTTAGTACCACTGAACTGTATACTTCAAAATGGTTAAGATGGTAAGTTCTGTTACATGTATTTTACACCACAATAAAAAACTCCACACATCAATGTTTACAGCAGCTTTATTCATAATCACCAAACCTGGTCCTTCAATAGGTGAATGTACATCCAGACAATGGAATATTATTCAGTGCTAAAATGAAATGAGCTATCAAGCCATGAAAAGACACGGAAGAACCTCAGATGCATACTGCTAAGTGAAAGAAGCCAAGTTGAAAAGGCTACACGCTATATAATTCCAACTACGGGACATTCTGGAAAAGGCATTGCGATGGAGGTAGTAAAAGGATCAGCGGTTGCCAGGGGTTGCAGTAAAAGTGGGAGGAACAGGTGGAGCAGAGAGTTTTAAGGTGCGGAAACCAGTCGGTATGATACTGGTGGAGACATGTTGTTATACATTTGTCAAAACCCACTGAATGTACAATACCATACGAGCAAACCCTAACGTAAACTGTGGGCTTTGGGCAGTGATGATGTGTGAATGCTGGTTCACTGACTGTGCCAAATATACCACAGTGATGCAGGATGTTGATGAGCAGGAGGCTTGGAGAAGAGGGGCATGAGGAGCATGGGGTATATGGGAACTCTGTACCTTAGGCTCAGTTTTGCTGTGAACCTAAAATGCTGCAAAGTCTATTAATTAAAATGAATAAAAATTTCTAAAAATCATTAGAAATAAGAGAGTGACACTCAACCAACACATACTTATTTCATACCTATTTGTTCAAAGCTCTGTAAAACAGAATAGTATATTAAAGAAAACCAAATAAATGAAAAAGAAACTTCAGATGGAAGTGCTATAAAGGAAAATAAACACACTGAAGGGCAGGAAGTTAGATGCGGAGTGGGGGTAGGCAGAGGTGATCATGAAAGATCTCTTTCAAATATGGCCTCAGTGACATTCAGGCAGAAGAAATAAAAATCTAAAGGTCCCAACGTGAGAACAAGCTTCTCAGAAACAATGCTACCTCTTTGTCTTTGGCAGATTAGGAAGATTTTTACATTAATAAGAATTATTAATAACGACTATAGTTCTTACTAGGACTAATAAAGACTAAGTCCTATATTTAGTAAGAACTATTTATAAAAACTGGTAATTCATACAAATAATCTTAGTCATTAAATTTAATCAATAGGTTATGTATAAAACTCTGTATATTACCAACAGAAAATGTTCTAAGTTTTCATAGAACATTTTCCAAAATGGATTATGTTTTAAGTCACAAGAAACACTCAATAAGTTTAAAAGATATTTTAAAAGATTATAGAAGCTGACAACAATGAAAGAAAATATGAGTGAATAGAATTATCCTAAATACCTCCTGAGTCAAAGAGGAAATCAAAACTAGAACCACCAGCTATTTGGAAAATACTGAGCAGAAGAACATTGTCCATGTAAATTAGAATGTGCAGCCAACGCTGCATTCAAAAGCAAATTAAGAACATTAAAGGTTTTTATTATTAAAAGACATTAAAATGAACTAGCTTTGCACAGTGGCGGTATCGTAGCCAATGAGGTCTATCCGAGGAGCGATTACCGCTCATCGAAAACACATTAAAGGAACTAAGAATTCATTAAGAATTAATAACATTAACATTAACTTAATGTTAACATTGTTAACAACAAAAAAAAAAAGCAGGAGAGCAAAATAAAGAGAAAAGTAGAAATCAGGCATTCAGAAAACAAACAAAAAAAAACCAATACAATAAGTAAATCTCAAAGCTGGTTAGTAAAAAAAACCACTAAGTAGACAAACATTTGGCAAATTCAGAAAAATAGTGAAATCACTAATAAAAAAAAGGAAATGAATACCACAGATCTTAATGACAAAAGATTATACACACCTATATAGTAACAGATTTGAAAATCTAAAAGAAATGATCTAGGAAATACGAATTATCAAAAGTGACTCATGAATAAGGATTCCTGAATAGGTTATAGAAGTTAACTACAGAAGTTATCATAAAGGCCTATCCTTTTTTTTTTTTTTTTTAATGAGACAGAGTTTCACTTTTGTTGCCCAGGCTGGAGTGCAATGGCACGATCTCGGCTCACTGCAACCTCCGCCTCCCGGGTTCAAGCGATTCTCCTGCCTCAGCCTCCCGAGTAGCTGGGACTACAGGCACCTGCCACCACACCTGGCTAATTTTCTATTTTTAGTAGACACAGGTTTCTCCATGTTGGTCAGGCTGGTCTCAAACTCCAAACCTCAGCTGATCCACCTGCCTCGGCCTCCCAAAGTGCTGGGATAACAGGCATGAGCCACTGTGCCCGGCCTATTCTTATTAATCTAAATTTATATGAGATTCTCCTCTAACCTTTCAATAAATTCCGTACGCAGGACTAATATGAGTGGGATTTTGGTTATTCACGATATATACCTTGTGATACCTTTGATTAATAGCAAATTTACTATTACATATCCTCAGCAATAGTTAAAAGAAGAAAACCATATCATCATCTAAATGTTACAATAGCATCTCATAAAATTCAGAAGCCATTCCTATTTTTTGTAAAGCAGAAACAGAATAAAATAATAATCTTTCTCTAAATCCAACAGCTGCCATCATCCCTAACTGTAAAAATATTAATACCAGAGTCATTTCAAGACAACGACACGTCTCTTGTTTAACCAAGTCTTGGAACTTCAGGCCAATGTAATAAAGACCTAAAACAGGGTTAAGGGCTGGGCACGGTGGCTCATGCCTGTCCAACACTTTGGGAGGCTGAGGCAGGCGGATCACGAGGTCAGGAGATCGAGACCATCCTGGCTAATACGGTGAAACCCCGTCTTTAAAAAAGAAAGAAAAAGAAAAAAAAAAAAGGTTAAATATTGTAACCATAGAAAAGTGACTGAAGTTACTATTATTCTCAGATAAAACAATGAACCTGGAAAACAAAATAAAGACGTTTACTGAAGTCCAGTAAGATAATAAAAATACCAATGAACAGAAAAATCTAGTTACTACTTCTTCTTTTTTTTTTTTTACTTAGAGATGGAGTCTCGTTCTGTTGCCCAGGCTGGAGTGCAGTGGCTTGATCTCAGGTCATTGCAACCTCCGCCTCCCGGGCTCAGACAATTCTCCTGCCTCAGCCTCCGGAGTAGCTGGAACTACAGGTGTGCACCACCACACCCAGCTAATTTTTTGTGTTTTCAGTAGACACAAGGTTTCACCACGTTGGTTAGGCTGTTTCCAACTGCTGACATCAGGTGATCCACCCACCTAGGCCTCCCAAAGTGCTGGGATTACAGGCGTAAGCCACTGCACCCGGCCAAATATTTTTATACCTGTATTTTATTTCTGTAGCAAAACTATTTTAAAACTCTTTTATCCCCACCAGGCATGAAAAAATTCCAGAAAGATTAAGATTGAAACACAATGGGCTGGGCACGGTGGCTCACGCCTGTAATCCCAACACTTCGGGAAGCCAAGGCAGGCAGATCACCTGAGGTCAGGAGTTTGAGACCAGCCTGGCCAACATAGCAAAACCCCGTCTCTACAAAAAAAAAAAAAAAAAAAAAATCAGTTGGGTGCGATGGTATGGTGCCTGTAATCCCAGCTACTCGGGAGGCTGAGGCAGGGGAATCACTTGAACCCGGGAGGCGGAAGTTGCAGTGAGCTGAGATCCAACACTGCACTCCAGCCTGAGTGACAGAGTGAGACTCTGTCACAAAAAAAAAAAAAAGATTGAAACACAATAATTATTAAAAGTACCAGAAGAAAACACATAAGAATGTTTTTTGTAAAGGTGGAATGAGGAAGATCTTAAACAGAAGGCAATAGATTAATATCTATTACATGTGAAGAGCTTCTACAACTCAATAAGGAAATATACATTACAAGTCTTTTTGGAATGCAATTCAAAAAAAAAAGAAAAAAGAAATTTAAATGCACACTTACAAGTCGTTTTAATGGAAATACTTATCTACATATGCATGTGCACAAAGACATACGTATAAGTTCATTAAGGCTCTAGTTTTAGTTGCTCAAAGTTAGAAATAACATAAATGATCACAAATAATTAAAGTACTACCATACAGCATAATATCTAATGACTTAAAAAGTAGAGGTGCCACTATATGTCATGATATGGAAAACAATACTTAATGATCAGATTTTTTATTTTAAAATCAACATAAAAAGTATCCGACACACAAAAGGTACTACTTATTTCTAACTCAGTAAGTAAAACTATTAACAGCGGGTAGGTACTTCTAAGGAATGGGACTAAAAAGAGAAAGTAATTTTCACTTTTTAAGAATTTTATAAGACAGGGTCTTGCTCTGTCACCCAGGCTGGAATGCAATGGTGCAATCATAGCTCACTATACCTCCAACTCTTGAGCTCAGGTGATCCTCCTGCCTCAGTCTCCCAAAGAATTTTCACTCTTTAAATATTTAATTGACTTGTTTGAACCTTTTATAATAAATATGTACTGCTTTTAGAATTTAAATTTAAAATAAGGAACAAAACCACTGTTCCAGTTTGTTACAATGGTTCTGCCAGCTGAGACTAAGGTAATTTTGTCTTAAAAGTTTTTACCACTTTCCAAATTTCTTATTTAATATTTTTTTCTACTTTTATTTTTGTCTGATTTAAGAGATGGGGTCCCCCTGTATTGTCCTGGCTGACCTCAAATTCCTGGACTCAAAGGATCCTCAGCCTCCCAAGTAGCTAGGACTACAGGCACCACCAGCCACTGCCCACTTTTCAACTTTTATACAGGAAATATGCATATTTTTAAATCTGAGAAATTTGTGTTCAAAAACCCTATGTTTTATTTCAGTGGTGAAACTATTACATATTTTTTCTCCTGAAAAATTACATTTTATTCATCCAAAAGTAATTTTTATTTTTAGTTACGGTCTCAGAAACTTCGTTCTTTTAGAAGGCAGTTTTTTGTTTGTTTGTTTGTTTGTTTTTGAGACGGAGTCTCACTCTGTCACCCAGGCTGAAGTGCAGTGGCGCAATCTCAGCTCACTGCAGCCTCTGCCTCCTGGGTTCAAGCAGTTCTCCTGCCTCAGCCTCCTGAGTAGCTGGGATTACAGGCGCCCGCCACCACGCCCAGCTAATATTTTTATTTTTAGTAGAGAATACTAAATTCTCTACTAAAGAATAGTAGAGAATATAGGTTTCACCATGTTGGCCAGGCTGGTCTTGAACTCCTGACCTCAAGTGATCGGCCCACCTCAGCCTCCTAATGTGTTGTGATTACAGGTGTGAGCCACCGCACCCGGCCTAGAAGGCAGTTTTAATTCTAAGTTTAGGAGTATCGACTCTACAGCATGTAAGAACAGACTATTAACTAACGTTTATTAAGACCTATAATTACAGAATCCTTTACCTGCATTCCCTCATTTGATCTAAATATCCCTGTGAAATTGGTATTATTATTATTATCCCCATCTTACAGGTGAGAAAAGCAAGTCTTGAAAAGAATGTATATCTTGCCCAGGGTAAAGTAGAACAGCAAGAATTCAAACGCAGGACTCTAGCTCCTAACCACATGGGATACATGGAGTAAGTACTAAAGAAACTCAGAGATAGTAGGCTGGAACACTGAAATCCTGAATGAATGTTCAGACTGACTACCCTTAACCAGGCAGGTGACCCTAGAAGGGAAGAAGTGATGAAACTCAACTCTGATCACAGAAGAAAACAACCAGTATTTTATTTTTTGGGGGCAATGAGGGATTTTTTTCCTTTCCTATTCTGCTCTGTTAAGGCACAAAAAGGATACTAGGAAGAGCTTGGACACACAATTTGCAATTAACACCCTCCCTCTGATTAGTCTGGAAACTCAACTCTTATACCAAACTGATGGAAACCTTTACGACTTAAAGTCTTGAAGTTGACCCAGTTTCTTTTTCTTTTTCTTTTTTAATGAGACGGAGTCTCGCTCTGTAGCCCAGGCGGGAGTGCAGTGGCGCGATCTCGACTCACTGCAAGCTCCGCCTCCCGGGTTCATCACGCCATTCTCCGGCCTCAGCCTCCCGAGTAGCTGGGACTACAGGCGCCTGCCACCAAGCCCGGCTAATTTTTTGTTGTATTTTTAGTAGAGACGGGGTTTCACTGTGTTAGCCAGGATGGTCTTGATCTCCTGACCTCGTGATCCGCCCGCCTCGGCCTCCCAAAGTGCTGGGATTACAGGCGTGAGCCACCGCGCCCGGCGAAGAAGACCCAGTTTCAAATTTTAACCAAAAGTGTAAAAGTCAGAAAGCCAAAAGAAATATACTCAAATATTATTATAATAATAATCGATTTTGATGGATAAAAGGAAGAATCTAACAATTCCTACTCATTTTATCCTTGGCTACTTGAAGTTCTTAAATATTAGAAAAGTATAATTGAAAGTTTATCTTTAGCTACCTGAACAAGTTCTAGTCTCTCTTAAAAAGTATAATTGAAATAGAAACTGTTGGTGGTGTGCCGTGGCTCACGCCTATCCCAGCATTTTGGGAGGCTGAGGCGGGCAGATGACCTGAGGTCGGGAGTTCGAGACCAGCCTAACCAACACGGTGAAACCCCATCTCTACTAAAAATACAAAATTAGCCGCGCGTGGTGGCGCGTGCCTGTAATCCCAGCTACTCAGCAGGCTGAGACAGGAGAATCGCTTGAACCCAGGAGGCGGAGGTTGCGGTGATCGCACCATTGCACTCCAGCCTGGGCAACTGAAACTCCGTCTCAAAAAAAAAAAAAAAAAAGAAATATTAATTGTTAACCGCATCTACTTGGGAACCTGTCTATCATAAAGATCAGAGAGCCCTATCGCCTGTATACTCGAACTATAAACTTAATTTTGAATTTGGGTTTGCAAGGTTAGTATTAAATAGCACGGAGTCCAGAATAGTATCTCTCTCTGAATGAGAGTAAACCATAAACCAAGGCCCTAAGGGAAGTGAAATACCCAGGAACTCTTCCTTCATAAAAATATCTGCTGATTAGAAGAAACTGGCAGAGAAGCCAACATCTACAGACCAAGTTTCAAACTCCAACAAAACTCCAACCTTTCTACACCTTAATCCCTCAGGCCAATAAAACATCCATTAAGTTAAGGACAACTGATACTACTATTTAAGAAATGATGACAGTATTGAAGCTGAGTATTGGAGCCACTTTTTTCAGAGCCTTGCTGGAGGGAAAGGTAACAATGGGCTACTTAGTGAAAACACAAAATACACTGAATTTAGGTCAACCTGTTACCAAATCGGAAAGTTGGTTTAAGACCTACATCTATTACAGGTTCACTTTCCGTAATAAGTGTCAATCAATGTGCTTGGCTAATAAGTAGCTCGAAAGATTTAATAGCCGAGGATGACACAGTGAAAAAGTTGCCTGAAATCCATACTCCTAACAGAACATGAAAAAGGCTCTTCATATATACACGAGCATGAGTGGGCTTTACAGAAGCCACAGACCTTCTGGCAAAGTTGACAAGTTTTAACCTGCTTTAAAAATTACTATTCACTGCCTTCATCCCAATGTAACTTTACTGAGTGTTATTCTATTGGACAACCCTACAAAAACAAAATCCCCAGAGCAAATTCTTGTACATTTCAATATCCTGCCTACTTATAAGAGCGGAAGAGTCGAACACAGCAGGGGAAAAAACGTGACGTGCACAACCTTGATCCAAAACACAGCTCTTCGTAGTTTAATTTTAGGCCTAACCATTTTGTCTTTTTATAAAGGTTAAAAAAGAAAACAAAGAAAGGACACATCGCCTGTAACGCAGAAGTGAGATAATGATATCAACCGGAGTTCGTTATTTATCAAGGGACAACAAATCACGCTCACACTGCCCAGGGAGAGTACTACTAAAATTAAGATACAAGGATGGGTACAACCTCACACCCACTGACGATGACACGCTTCTGTTCTTGGATGACTTATCTTTAAAGAATTAGTTAAAAGGTTGAGTGGCAACGTTTTGTGTTTGTGCGTGCGTGTGTTTCCAAGAGAGCCAAACATGGTGAAAAACCAATCTTAACTTCACCTAAGTTATCTAAAGAAGCAAATTTCACCCCTAGGCTGAAGCTCAAACAGGAGCGAGGAGAAGCTCCGAAAGATCAGTTCGTAAGCGGTGGCCCTCAAGCGCCCGGGACGCTCTACGTTTTTACCAATGTGGAATGTGGAAAAGAGGTTACAGGCTGGAGCTGAGAAAACAGTCAAGCTACTCGCGACAATATTCCTGAGCAGTGAAACGGGTGAACAGAGAGCGAGCAAGCAGGGGCTGAGAATCAGTGAGAGGAAAAATCAAGGAACAAAACCGGAGAGTCTGGTCCAGCATTAAGAAAACGGAGCAAAGGAAGAGGGTGAAACGCGAGGGGAGGGAAGACCGAGAGTCGGCAGAGACCGTGGTGCCGCGAGGTTCAGAGCAGGGCTGGGTCCAGGAAGAGTCAGACCTCCGCAGCCCAGCGAGCTTCCCATTTCTGGCTAAAGCCAGCGAAGAAAACGGCCCTGGGGAGCAGACAATGAGCCACCGCCCCAGGAGCTGCGGCTCCCAGCACGCAGGTGGCGGCTCCCCGGCCCCGCGCGGGGCAGGTCGGCCGTCCCGGGCCGCTCCCGCCCGCCAGGCCACGGAGAAGGAAGGAGGAGGAAGAGACCCGGCCTGCGTCCCGCGCCGGCCGGCCTGTGTGCACTTACCCCGGGCAAGGCAAGGTCCCCGCCCCAGCGAGGCGCCTCGGTCAGAGCTCCCGGCGGGCTGCGGAGCCGCCCCGGGCTAGCGCGCGGTGCGGGGAGGGGAGGGGAGGGAAGGGGAAGCGGGGCGGGAAGAGACGCCGCGCTGGAGCAGCCGCTGCTACCGCTAGGCCCAGCGGCGGCGGAGTCCTGCGCACGCCAGGGAGGGGAGGGGAGGGAGCCTTCGGCAATGGCGACGGCCCGGGCCGGAGGGGAAGCGGAACAACCGCCGCCGCTGCGCGTGGCCACAACCCTGGGGGAGGAAGACGGCGGGGAGCGGGGCGGGGCGGGGCCAGAACCCAGAACCCCTCCCGCCCCGAAGCCGGAGCTCCCCGGGGCGGAGACGAGCGCCACCTCCCATGGGCAGGCCCGCGCGGGGGCCGCTGGGAGTAGTAGTTCGGTGATAGACGTTGCTTTTATTCCTTGGGTAGTCTTTGTATTGAGAGGAGCAGCCAGTCCCTCATTTAATTCAGCATTGTCTCCAAGCAGGTCTCTGCCGACGGAAGACGCTGACAGACGATTGCTGTTATACACATCTGCTCCGCGACATTTGTTTCTGGGAATTCATCCGTTATCCATTTTGCTTTTTTGCTTACAAATTCTTAACTAAAATTTTGCTGCTAAATTAAGTATCACCTCCTTGCAAATTAAGACTTCCCTATTTTATCCACGGAGGAGTTCATCAATGTTTCACTTATTCTACAAATATTTGAGTGTCTGATATGGACTAGACACTGTTAAGCATCAGAAATACAAGGGTGGTTCAGGTGCGGTGGCTCACGCCTGTAATCCCAGCACTTTGGGAGGCTGAGGCAGGCGGATCACCTGAGGTCGGGAGTTCGAGACCAGCCTGGCCAACACGATGAAACCCCGTTTCTACTAAAAATACAAAAATTAGCTGGGCATGGTGGCACGCATCTGTAGTCCCAGCTACTCGGGAGACTAAGGCAGGAGAATCGCTTGAACCCAGGAGGAGGAGGCTGCAGTGAGCCAAGATCGGGCCACTGCACTTCAGCGTGACAGAGTCGTCATGCCTCAAAAACAAAACAAAAAACACAAAAGAAATGCAAGGGTGAACACGATTCACCAAGCCTTTGTGGAGCTTATATGAGGACGCAGTAATTAAAGTAGTCACACCTGGTATAAGAAAAAACTTGGCGAGGTTACTTTGGATAGGGTGGTCGGAGAAGGCCTCGTTAAGGAGGTGACACTTAAGGCAAGAACAGAAAGAGACAGCAATAAGAAGCACCCAGAGAAAAGCAATACAGGCAGGAGAAGAAAGAAAAGGGCTTGCTACGGTCAGTTAAGAAGGCCTGTGTAGCTGGGGCCTAGAACAAGAAGGCGGTACTATTAAGAAAACACTACAGCAGACAAGATTCAGGTCATGAAAGATCCTGAATGCCATGGTAAAAAGTCTATATTACAAAAAACCATTAAAAGGCTTTTTTAAGCAGGAAAGCGATGTTACCTGGCTTACACTTTAAGATCACTAGACTGCAATGTGGATAATGGAGTATAGAGATGCAAGAATAGAAGGGAAATAAAGTAGGAAGGCAGTGGAAAGAAAGAGGAATTGTGCTTCTCTATCAATGTAGAGCAAAAAACTCAATTGATGCAGTGGGTACAGGAGAGAAAGGAATCAAGGAGCAACATGGCACAGTAAGAGATAACCTGAAAAATGCTCTGATTATTAAACACACAGAAACACTGGATAAATAAGACATCCTTTCAAAGGCATAACTTGCAAGAATGAAAATAGAATGTTTCTGACAGTCTTCCAAATTTCACACTCAACCTGAAGAAGGGGCAGGACACCAGAGTGGTAAGCAGGGCAGTGAAGCCATGGTTGTGTTGAGGGCACCTACTTATCTCAGAAATCTCTAGAGTTTTAATAGGTGCACAGGAAACTAAAGACAAGGACTTGGGCCTATACAAGAAGTCAGGACTGTGATCCTGCATAGGACTGGAAATTCAAGGCGCTATACCCTCCAAGAACAGACTGGGGGGAAAAAAAACCCTATGCTAGCCCAGGGAGACACACAGGACATTTGTTTACTTTGGCCTGCAGTGGGCTTGCAGGGCAGAAGAAAATTTTCCCTTTAGAATTAATAACCCTTTAGAATTTTCCCTCACTAAGGTTTTAAAGTTCAAATTTGTCAAGAAAGTGGTCCCAGGCTGGAGTTCTGGGGGGCCTGGAAGAAACAAATACAAATCCTGACTGCACAGGTGTACCCTCAACCTCGGTCTCAAAGGATTTCACAGATAAACAGGATTTCCGAAGCCAAACATGAGCACCCGAAATACAATACACCTGAGGAAATAAGCAGCGATGAGTGAGTCAATAGAAACTACAAAGAACATAATGAAACCCACACAGACTTTAGCTGCTGGAATTGATGGCTACAGAATATACAGTACGCCTATTTAAATGATTAAAGAAAGTAAGACAGGAGCTAGAAAACACGAGCAAGAAACAAGATGCTTTTTTTTTTTAACGACCAAACAGCTTTGAAAATGAAATAAGTAGGCCAGGCGCGGTGGCTCACACCTGTAATCCCAGCAGTTTGGGAGGCCGAGGTGGGCAGATCACCCGAGGTCAGGAGTTCGAGACCAGCCTGGCCAACATGGTGAAACCCCAGTCTCTACTAAAAATGCAAAAATTAGCCAGGCGTGGTGGTGGGCACCTGTAGTCCCACCTACTCAGGAGGCTGAGGCAGGAGAATCACTTGAACCTGGGAGGTGGAGGTTGCAGTAAGCCAAGAACATGCCATTGCACTCCAGCCTGGGCAACAAGAGCAAAACTCCGTCTCAAAACAAAAACAACAACAACAAAAGAATTAAGTAGAATTTCTAGAAACAAAGAATAACTGAAACCAAAGCCAATGTTTGGTTAAATAGCAGATTACACACAATTGAAGAGAAAATTAGTAAACTGGAAGACAGACCAAAAGAAATTACTGAGAACAGCCTAGAGACAGGAAAAATGAAAGCAAGCTTAAGAGACATGGGGATAGATTGTTAAGGTCTCTACCATACTCCTAATGAGAATTCCAGGAGAGAAAAGAGAAAAACCAAGAGAGGCAGATAATGATGAGATAATGGCTGAAAAATTTCCAGAATTGATTAAAGACAGGAATCTTCAGATTCAGGAAGCAAACTGAATACCAAGCAGGATAAGTAAAGAAATTTCAAACACATGAAAATGAAACCGCAGAATACCAGAGATAAAGCAACCAGAGAGAAAAGACATTCTGTACAAACAACTATTACATTCATAGCAGATTTCACAACAGCAAAACGGGTGCCAGTCAATAATGGTATATTTTCAAAGTACCAAGAGAAAATAACCAAGCTTAGAAGTGTACAGCTACCGGCTGGGCACAGTGGCTCACACCTGTAATCCCAGCACTTTAGGAGGCTGAGGTGGGCAGATCACCTGAGATCAGGAGTTCAAGACCAGCCTGGCCAACAACGGCAAAACCCTGTCTCTGCTAAAAATATAAAAAATAGCAGGGTGTGGTGGTGTGCGCCTGTAGTCCCAGCTACTTGGTAGGCTGAGGCAGGAGAATCACTTGAACCCAGGAAGCAGAGGTTGCAGTGAGCAGGGATCACACCACTGCACTCCAGCCTGGACGACAGAGCAAGACTCTGTCTCAAAAAAAAAAAAAAAAAAAAAAGTGTACAACTACCTAAATTATCCATCAGATGAGTGAGGATGAAATAAATATATCATCAAACATAAACAAGCTACCAACAGAGACACACTAAAGGAACTCCTTAAAAGGTATATTTCTTTCTTTTTCTTTCCCTTTTTTTTTTTTTTTTGTGACGGAGTCTCACTCTGTCGCCCAGGCTGGGGTGCAGTGGTACGATCTCGGCTCACTGCAACCTCTGCCTCCCGGGTTCAAGTGATTCTCCTGCCTCGGCCTCCCGAGTAGCTGGGATTACAGCCGCATGCCACCACTCCCGGCTAATTTTTTGTATTTTTAGTAGAGATGGGGTTTCACCATGTTGGCCATGTTTACAAGATAATACAAACAAAACCAGAAATGTTCTGTTATACTAAAAGTGATGTCATCTGCAACCATTTATCTAAGCAAGAAGAGTTATATCAAAGTTTTCTTCATTCACATTTTTATTACACTTCTGAATATTTGTATAAGTGAGTAAATGGCTGAACCACATTCCAAGCCACAATCTTAAATATTTTAAATACTGATGAAACCTGGTTGTGATGAGCAAAAACAAAAACATTCTGTATACACATACCCCCACATACTCTTAAGATGTTAAACAGTACCGTGTTCCCTCCCCGTCTAACCATATTCCAAAACGTTGCCTGTCAATCTAACCATATCCCAAAACAATGCCTGAATTGTAGCTGACATATATAATTCCATTTCAGTGTCATATTATTAATCCCATAGTGAAAGAAATGTTTCTAAAACATGAAATTCTTTCTTACGAGAAAGCATGAAATAGGTATGAAACTATACTGGGTTGAAATTTTAGTCATTTTAAAGGTCACTGTTTCTGCTTTATGGCACTGGGTTACCTTTTCCAATATTTAAGTCTCAAATACACGTTTAAAAAGAACTGTTAGGACTAGTCAGGTCATACATGTCAAATTATACAAGATGTAGTCCCATGAAAACACCAAAATACTTTAGGAAATGGAGCAGTGATGGCATATACAAAGGTTTATCACATCTCAATACTCTACATAAAATAAATAATGCCAACACACCCTGGTTTGATGTCTTCTGTTTTGGAACATGCTTGCCCTAAGGTTTTATTTACTTTTTTTTTTTTTTTTTTTTTTTTTTTTTTGAGACAGAGTCTCACTCTGTCGCCCAGGCTGGAGTGCAGTGGCGTGATCTCGGCTCACTGCAAGCTCTGCCTTCCGGGTTCATGCCATTCTCCTGCCTCAGCCTCCCGAGTAGCTGGGACTACAGGTATGCACCACCATACCCGGCTCATTTTTTTGTATTTTTAGTAGAGATGGGGTTTCACCGTGTTAGCCAGGATGGTCTCAATCTCCTGACCTCGTGATCTGCCCGTCTCGGCCTCCCAAAGTGCTGGGATTATAGGCGTAAGCCACCGCGCCCGGCCAAGGTTTTATTTTTTAATTAGCCTATGGCACTTACTTTATTTTCTAATTTTTTTCCAATCATAACAGTAAATGAAGAACCTTTGTTTAAAAAAATTACCTGATGATTCCAATTATTGTTCATGTACAACTTTATTTAAAATGGCAATCTGAGTTGTCTTCCTGACATACTCTGTACCAAATCTTAGTACTCAGTTTCATCAAGTCCTTTGCCAATTCATATATTCAAAAGAAACATGATAAAATGTAAAAGGAGAATGGAGTGCGTTAAGGAATAATCAATAATTTAAGATTATCAATAATTTTGATATTAATATTAATTTCTTAGCTGTCCTACTTTAATGATTTTCATTGAAACTCTGGCACATCTTTAATAGTCTCATGACATTACTATTTAAATAAACATGATTTTCATCCAAATTATTTTATTCTTCTTTTTTGTTTTTCCTTTGGAGACAGGGTCTCGTTCTGTCGCCCAGGCTGTAGTGCAGTGGTGCGATCTTGGCTCTCTGGAACCTCCGCCTCCCAGGTTCAAGCGATCCTCCCGCCTCACCCTTCCAATTAGCTGGGACTACAGATGCCCACCACCAGCCCCAGCTAACTTTTGTATTTTTAGTAGAGACAGGGTTTCACCAAGCTGGTCTCAAACTCTTGACCTCTGGTGATCCGCCCACCTCGGCCTCCCAAAGTGCTGGGATTACAGGTGTGAGCCACTGTGCCTGGCCTATTTTATTCTTATTTATAACGGTTTTCTCAATTTGTAGCTTAAATTGAAAGTACTTGCAAAATGAGAATAATTTGTCTCTACTACATAAAGAAATAATTTTTCTACCCCAAATGAAGATAAAGTCACTTCTCACAAAATAAACATTAATTTAGCAGAATTAAGTTTCCCCTTATGGCATCTGATGCTTGAGGATTACCAAGGATCCATGCAATAGAGCACTACATTTTGGAATTAGCTGAGAATGATCCCAAATTTCCTCTAGTAAACATAATTTTGGCCACAAATGAAGACAAAAGATAAAAGTAATTAATTCTAGAAGAACACCTCTCGTCAGAAATTAATAGATCTTATTTAGGTTTCTAGGAAGCATTTAACTACATAAAACTTATAGGGAAAAATGGCCATATTTGAAAACTGCTACAAGGATCAATGTAGAGCACAGGATTGTAATGAGCAGAGTCACAGAACATACTAGAGAGGTATGTACAGTCAGTCCCACTGGAACTTGTAGAATCACATTCTTATATACCTATGGAGAGAGAGAGAGAAGTTAGACATTGAAAATGCATGTCATGGGCCCGGTGTGGTAGCTCATGCCTGTAATCCCAGCACTTCGGGAGGCCAAGGCGGGCAGATCGCTTGAGGTCAGGAGTTCAAAACCAGCCTGGCCAACATCTCTACTAAACCATCTCTACTAAAAATACAAAAATTAGCCAGGTGTGGTGGCAGGTGCCTGTAGTCCCAGCTACTAGGGAGGCTAAGACAGAACAATCACTTGAACCCGGGAGGCGGAGGTTTGCAGTGAGCTGAGATCGTGCCACTGTACTCCAGCCTGGGAGACAGAGGAAGACTCTGTCTCAAATAAATAAATAAATAAATAAAAATAGTAAAATAAAATAAATGTCATAAGGTGAGACCACTATTTCTTTGATTTTTAATTGGATATTTTTATTTCCTTTTTCTTTTAAATATATTTCAGCCAGTGCTACACTACATGTAATATTATTGGTTTGAATGACTTTTGAATCTAACATTTCATTTAATGTTACAGAATCAGACTCAATTCCCACAATAATTTGTTAAATCTCATTAGTTCTGATTTTTCTGCTTTTTACATAAAGTATATTATTTTAAGAAAAGCTATATCCCAGTGTCACCTCTGTAATCAATATAAACATTTACTTCCTCTTACCATGTTTCAAATTAGAATACAGAATTCTCTCTAAATTGAAGACTTAGAGGAAAAACATTAAAACAACAAAAAACTAAATTATTCTTTCATTCCCATTTGCCTTTCTCTCCCCAGATAGCTTTTAAAGCCTTGTTATTCCCATATTGTACAGCTGGATGTGGCCTTTACTATGACTAGCAATGGAAAAGCTCCTACATTCAACTCAGTTTCTATTTTCTATTTGGTTTTGAAGATAAAGTTCAATGAAAAACACTGGGAAAGTTTATACTTTAAAAATAAGTTTTAAAAAACATTAAAATGTACGTAACTTGGGAATACTTTTTCTTTTTGTAAATACCTGAATTATGATTTCACACCCCAAAAAATACAAGTAACCAACCCAATCTGCAACAAAGTGCTATCTGAAAACCGTCATTCAAAAAAATGACATCTTCAACAATCCTTGGGATGGAATACCACCTTAGTAATGGCCACCTATTTTTCTGGTATATATGAAGATGAAATATATATAAAGTTGGCCGGGTGCAGTGGCTCATGCCTGTAATCCCAGCACTTTGGGAGGCTGAGGCAGGCGGATCATGAGGTCAGGAGTTTGAGACCAGCCTGGCCAACACAGTGAAACCCTGTCTCTACTAAAAATACAAAAATTATCCAGGCATGGTGGCACGTGCCTATAGTCCCAGCTACTCAGGAGGCTGAGGCAGGAGAATGACTTGAACCCGGGAGGCGGAGGTTGTGGTGAGCCGAGATCGTGCCACTGCACTCCAGCCTGGGCAACAGAGCGAGACTCCGTCTCAAAAAAAAAAATAAAATAAAAAAAAAAATAAAATAAAATAAAATATATATATATATATATATATATATATATATATATATATAAATAATATATACATATAGTTAAAAGCTATATTTAAAGTGTTAAATTATTATGACCTCTTATGGCAAGTTACAGAATTTTAAAGGCAACTGAAGTCAGGTGTGGTGGCTCACGCCTGTAATCCCAGCACTTTGGGAGGCTGACGGGGGTGGATCACCTGAAGTCAGGAGTTTGAGACCAGCCTGACCAACAAGGTGAAACCCCGTCTCTACTAAAAATACAAAAATTAGCCGGGCATGGTGGCAGGCGCCTATAGTCCCAGCTACTCGGGAGGCTGAGACAGGAGAACTGATTGAACAGGGAGGCGGAGGTTGCAGTGAGCCAAGATTGCACCACTGCACTCCAGCCTGGGCAACAGAGCGAGACTCTGTCTCAAAATAAATAAATAAATAAATAAGGACAACTGAATTCAAAATGTTTTAAAAGGGTCACTACTTATCTTGTAGCAATACACACTAATTTGCTAAATCAATAAATCATAAACACTAAGCATACTCTTCATTGACATAATCAATCAAATGCAGGTCTCCAGATGTATTTTAGAGTTTGAGAAAAATTTTCAGGTACCATATGGCAATGGCAACCTACTCAAAAACAACTCTACACTGCATAAGATTGCAGAGTCATCCATCTTCCCAACTGTATGTTCAATGAAAGTTCCCCAACAAAAAACAGCAGTGCTTTGTAGTAACCCTTTGCTGTAAGAAAAAACAGCTTTCTATATTAGAAAATGCTAATCCCAGCTGGGCACGGTGGCTCATGCCTGTAATCCCAGCACTCTGGGAGGCCAAGATAGGCGGATCACCTAAAGTCAGGAGTTTGAGACCAGCCTGGCCAACAGGGTGAAACCCTGCCTCTACCAAAACTACAAAAATTAGCTGGGTGTGGTGGCGGGCACCTAGAATCCCAGCTACTTGGGAGGCTGAGGCAGGAGAATCACTTGAACCTGGTAGGCGGAGGCTGCAGTGAGCCGAGATTGTGCCACTGCACTCCAGCCTGGGTGACAGAGCGAGACTCCGCCTAAAAAAAAAAAAAAATGCTAATCTCTTAAATGTGGCAGGAACATTACAGAAAGAGCTTTAAATGAGGCACATGATCTAAAAAACAACATAAAACATTAGCTTACTGATTTATACTTCATCTTGTTCCATTGGCAGATATCCTCATTCTCCAAAGCACAAGGGGCTGCCACTTCTGAGTGAGCCCAGCATTTCAAAATCGGGAACTCTGAGAAAAGTGGTAGAAAATGATGTCAGAAAACCTGTATTTGGACTGAAAGCTAGGCTTGTATTAAACCTCAATAGACAGAAGTTGTCAAACATTTTAATACATTATGTATATGATCTGGACCCATCTATCACATTCTGTTATTTTAGCATCCTTTTTTATGTGAATGCCTAAGAAATTAGAAAATCACAAAAGTATTGCAAAAGTTGAACATGACTTCTTTTTTTTTTTTTTTTTTTTTTTTGAGACAGAGTCTCACTCTGTCACCCAGGCTGGAGTGCTGTGGTGCAATCTCGGCTCACTGCAACCTCCACCTCCTGGGTTCAAGCGATTCTCCTGCCTCAGCCTCCAGAGTAGCTGGGATTACAGGTGCCTGCCATTGCACCCAGCTAATTTTTGTATTTTTAGTAGAGATCGGGTTTCACCATCTTGGCCAGGATGGTCTTGAACTCCTGACCTCGTGATCCACCCACCTCAGTTTCCCAAAGTGTTGGGATTACAGGCGTGAGCCACTACGCCTGGCCAAACATGACTTCTTAATGAATCTCATTGTACTCAAATTTGGGGCTGCTCTTAAAAATTTAATGTAAACTTATTTTTGAAGCATCACTCAGAAAAGTGAACATATCGTAAGTGCAAAACTCGATAAATTTCCATATGAAACACACCCATAAAAGAGCATTCAGATAAAAAGACAGAATATCAGAATCCAGTTCTCTCAGGAGAGGAACTTTTTCAAACTTTATTTATGCTAAGAGGTACCTTTAATAGAAACAGAAAACAAGGTTGGATGAACAAAGGTAATATAATTGAACATTTTTAATTTTCTCGTCATGAAAGGTATGACGGTAACAAATGTAGTATTAAAAACTTCCCATCTGTCGGTTTTTAGTAACAGTGCTACTAACTTTTTTTTTTTTTTTTGAGACAGTCTTGCTCTGTCTCCCAGGCTGGACTGCAGTGGCGCGATCTCAGCTCACTGAAACCTCCGCCTCCCAGGTTCAAGTGATTCCCGTGCCTCAGCCTCCCAAGTAGCTGGGATTGCAGGTGCATACCACCACACCTGGCTAATTTTTATATTTTTAGTAGAGACAGGGTTTCACCATGTTGTCTAGGCTGGTTTCGAACTCCTGACCTCAACTGATCCGCCTGCCTCGGCCTCCCAAAGTGCTGGGATTACAGGTGTGATACACTGCACCTGGCCCCAGTGCTACTAACTTTTATAAACATTCTAAATCAACCCAAATTTGAAGACACAAAGAACCAAAAACTGAAAGGGGCTTCGTAAACTAAAGAAAATGTCTTGGCCAGGTGCTGTGGCTCACGCCTGTAATCCCAGCACTTTGGGAGGCCGAGGCGGGTGGATCACGAGGTCAGGAGTTCGAGACTAGTCTGGCCAACATAGTGAAACTCCGTCTCTACTAAAAATACAAAAATTAGCCAGGCATGGTGGCGCAGCCTGTAGTCCCAGCTACTCAGGAGGCTGAGGCAGGAGAGGCGGAGATTGCGGTAAGCCGAGATTGCGCCACTGCACTCCAGCCTGGGCAACAGAGCGAGACTCCGCCTCAAAAAAAAAAAATAAGAAAGAAAGAAAGAAAACATCTTGAGAAGACTGCAAACTGCAAAAGCTTTTTATTTTTTTTATTTTATTTTTTTTTTGAGACGCAGTCTCGCTCTGTCACCCAGGCTAGAGTGCAGTGGTGTAATCTTGGCTCACTGCAACCTCCGCCTCCTGGGTTCAAATGATTCTCCTGCCTCCGCCTCCCAAGTAGCTGGGATTACAGACGCCCGCCACCTCTCCCAGCTAATTTTTTGTATTTTTAGTAGAGACGGGGTTTCACCATGTTGGTCAGGCTGGTCTCGAACTCCTGAACTCATGATCCACCCGCCTCGGCCTCCCAAAGTGCTGGGGTTACAGGCGTGAGCCACCTCGCCCGGCAGCAAAAGCTGATTTTTCAGTTTACCCATTCCCACATAAAAACAGAAACGACAATTATGCAGCAAAATTAAAAACTCACAGACAAAATCTGCAACAAAACTAGGTGATAAAATATCTTCCCAAACATCAAAATACATGCAAGTAGAAACAAAACATCAAAAGCCAGAGTCCTGCAATACTGATAACAAGAAACAAAAAGCAACAGAGGGGTAATGTGGACCAATGGCTGCAAAAAGAAACACATAGTACATGCCTACTAATATTAAATGGCTACTGAGAAGAGAACACAGCACTGACCTATAGTTTTGTCAAAGGAATCAAACCGGAATCTGATCATTCTTCTGGAGCCAGCTGCCAATTTCCAGTAAATAAAGAAGTATGAGGAACATGAGTCCAATTAGCAAAACCCCAGCTATGACCAACTACAGGTCAAATGGCCCAGGTTCTTTCAACAGATCAGTGTTGAAGAAAGGAAAGGGATAGAGAGAAACCTGTACATTAAGAGACTTAATGGAAATAATAGATTTTTATAAATGGACAAGACCTTAGTCTTGGTATAGTGTCTTGGAATGCCCATCTGGATGATAAACATATAAAGAAACATAAGGAAGTATTTAACAGTCAGGATGGTGGGTTCGTCTTAGAGGGAAGGAGATGACAGTTGGGGCAGCGCAGTCAAGGACAGGGATGGCAGATGCATGTTTCTTTTTAACTTTTTTATTGTAAATTAAAGCACACACATAAAAATCTACTCAAATACATAGTTTAGTGAATTATTATAAGGCAAATAAATACCCTTGTAACTACCACCTAGGTCAAGACATAGGGCCTTGCCAGCCAGCCTAGCAGAAGGAGGACTTGCCACCATACCTTTATTCTGATGTTTCAACCCTTAGAAAACACTTGCAGCCCTCACCTTGGTCACAAAACATCAACAAATCTGGGTTATTGACCACAATCGAGGCTTCTCCATCTTCACTGTGCGGCCGATGATAGCGGCAGTGCACAGGCAAAAAGGCTTGAAAACAGTCAATGCACTGTGAATCTCGTCTGGCATAAATGAGAACTTCAGACTCCTTGGACAAATAGTTAGGGGCCTCTATATCAAAATTTTCTGAAACCATCACTGCCTGTTCAAAAAGAAAATAAATATTAATCAAGAAGAAATGAATGAGGAAGATTTTTAAAAAGTTAAAACCAGAAGACTATATACAGATACACAGCAGTGTCAAATTTGCCCCTTTTATAAGCAATTTCCATTCCCCTTCCATCCTCAATTTTAAGGAGAAAAACACAAGACCAATTTATGCTTAATAAAAGTCTGCTTACTAAAAAAAAACTGGGGAAATTATATTCTAGGGTACCAAATTTCCCCATAATAAAAATTATTCCTGTAATATTTTCTTATTAGTCTTTGCTTAGGTGACAAAATAGGTACCTAAGACAGAGAAATTTTGTGAATATAGCATTATTCAATAAGTACACAAACTGTGACAAAAGGTTAAACCTGTATTGAGTTAAAATGATTGGTATCATTCTGACAATTTCCTGTTCTTCAGAGAAGCAAGTGAGATGGCAGTGAGTAAGAGCACTGCGGTCAGGAAGTCAAAGCAAAGGTCAGCACTCTTTCTAGAGACGGTATAAACAGTTAATGGAAAAAATAGTAAATGATTGCTTAAAATAATATGGTAAAAACTATTTTATAGAAAAGTATAGTATTCTACACCAAAAGTGAAAATGTACATGTGGCAGAAATTAGACCTAAGTTATAACATGTATATTTATTTATTACACATATATCCACATATACATACATATTTATGTACACACACTCACATATATCCACATACACACACAGGCATTATATACGCGACCTATGTGTATATGTATGGATGTACACACACGCACAACTTCTCTTTAGATTGTCCATGCAAAACCCTGGTATGCATTAACTCCTTCCCATCACATCAAGCATCCTAACTTTCCTCTGACAGTGACACCAAGTGCTATGTTTTCTTTACATGTTGTTCCTTTTCAGTTAGTCACAGCAGGAACAGAACTCATTGGCAAAAGTCAAGGAATTATATCATCTCATGAGTCATGAGGGACTTTGGAAGTAATAAAATTAAACCACTGTCCCAACAAAGGTATTTTTCAGGTATACCGCCACTGCTTGAATACCTTCAGTGACTGGAAGGAAGCTCATTACTATAAGTCATCTCGATCTATCTACTGTTATAAGGTTATTTCTTTTTCATGAGTAGAAACTGTATGTACTAACCTATAACATTTACCAGTTGTTCTTGCTTACAATGTCTGCAATAAATTCGTTCCTTATTCCACTAGGGATCCTTCAATTATCAGAAGGCAACCATAGCCGCCGCCATGAAGTCTTCTCCTGACAAGGGAAATGTTCACAGTTCTCCTGGGTTCTCATGACATGGTTTCCAAATCATTCATCATATTAGCTGCATTTGAAGTACTCATAGAGTACAGGAGCAATATTACCTTCTTTAGGCAAAACTTGCATTAGTTTTTTGGCAGCCTTATCTCACTATGCTTTATATGTACTACTATTTTATTTTTTGAGACGGACTCTCACTCTGTCACCCAGGCTGGAGTGCAGTGGCACAATCAGGGTGCACTGCAGCCTCAAACTCCTGGGCTCAAGTGATTCTCCTGCCTCATCCTCCCAAAGAGCTGGGATAATAGGCATGAGCTGCCTATTCTTTTTTTTACCTAGCCTCTTATTTTCTCTTTTTAAGACAAGGTCTCACTCTGTCACCCTGGCTGGAGTGCAGTGGCATGATCATGGCTCACTGAAGTCTCAACCATCTAGGCTCAAGCAATCCTTCCACCTCAGCCTCCCAAGTAGCTGAGACTATAGACACACGCCACCATGCCTGGCTAATTTTTTGTATTTTTAGTAGAGATGATGTTAATTCTAACATCTGGGTCAATTCTGGATTGGTTTTAACTGATTGATTCACCTCCTCATTATAGGTCATTTTTCCCCCCATCCTTGCCTAGCTGCTAATTTATTATTACAGTCAAGAAATTGCTAATTTGATCTTGCTGGATATGTCTATATCCCTATACATATTCTTGAGCTTTGTTTGGGATGCAGATAAGTTACTTAGAAAAAGTTTGATATTTTTTTAAGGTTTTGTTTTTAAGATTTGTTATGCAGGACTAAAGCAATGTTCAGTTTGTGGCTAAGTATTCCCTGCTACTGAGTAAAAGTTCTCTGTTTTTCCATTGTTCAAGAAATTATAAGGCTTTTCTCAGTCTGGTTGCTGGGACGAGGTACTACTCCTGTCCCTGTGTGAGTACCAGACACTGTTACCGCTCATTTTGTCAGATGGCTCTTTCCCTGGCATCAGGTAGTTTCCTAACATATACACACTGATAAATACTCAGCTACATACTTGAAAGGAACCTTCTGTTATTTCTGCAGTTCTGCCTCTATGACGTTCTCTCCCCTCTGG